>NC_000001.11:118644744-118947774 GCF_000001405.40 Homo sapiens
TCTTTCTTTACATATGTGATAGAGTTTTAAGGTAAAACAAAATTGCTATGGAAATTTATTTAAATGGCAATGCTTGTTTTATCCATCTAGAATCCATCTAGAATCTGTACAAGATTGTAGGTAAATTCATCTTAATGAGCTATGCAAAACTGTCCTTAAACCACAAACCAGATTTACAAATACAATTACTTAGCACTTTTCCTATAACATTTGAAACAAATAATCAGTTATAATTAGAATCTTGAGGATAAACTCACTGTTCATTTTATATATATATATATCCCTTGCAATATAATTTGCTTTCATATTGCCAAATTAAGTGGAACAGGCCACCTAGCAAGATTATAGTAATGTCAGCAATTAGTCAAATATTATTTTGCTGGTAGATACCATAGTTCAGTTCTACAAAAAGAATTATTTCAATTAATCAACTTTCAGTAACAAAATCTAAAGTAATTTTATGACATGGCAAAGATTGGATTTTTTTAATCTTTCACTTCAAATTCAAAAAAATTTCTAACAAAATAGGAGAAATAGAAATATATTCACTAATTCACTTCTACTTGTCAAAGCAAGCTACACATTCTGACTTTTTAAAAAATCTTGGTTTTTACTTTTTTTCAGTTTTTGTGATCTGTTCAATCTTTCTGCACTAGTCATAATCAGACAACTCTTTGGTAGACATATAAAGATGTTTAAATTTCCTCAAGTAAAATAAATATAATAAATCACATATTCCAAGTAAACAGCACTTTGCCATGCTTTTGTTAATTTCAGAATATTAGATGGCACTACATACTAGCATCACATGACTCTCATTTTACTGCTCTCAGGTTTTGGACGGGATGTATAGCTGCACCTTGCAATTCACATGCATGCTGCCCATCATTCCTCAGTGAGGAGGGAGAGGATGAGTCAATGAAGAATTGTGCTCCTCCAGGTGCTTTTTAGTTTAGCAGGGCTGAGACCAGTTTACCTGGAGAACATGAATTTAAGTAGTTGCTTGTGGAAACCTGAGTTATTAATTGGCACCATAAGTAACTAATATCACTTGTGGGATTTTTCACCACTGACAACATGTAGAAAACAGTAACATCCTTCTTTAAATTAGACTTGGATTGTCCATAAGGTCTGACTTCTCCAATTGAGGAAGCAACCATCTCTCTCAACAGATGTTGCTATTTATGGTGCAAACAAGTCAGACTTCATAAATGTGTTGGAGCTTTAAAGTAAACCAAAATTATGAGATAAACTTTGTAACATAAGTGCATGTTTTATTTACTTATATTTTATAATAAATTCACAGAAAATAAGATGTGATTTAGCAAATTTGAGAACAATAAGCTTTAAGCCCAAAATAGAGCCTCTTCTCTCCTTCAGTGTCTTCTGAAGACTCCCAAACTTAAATGAATGTTATATACTCATCTGCCTTCAGAGAAAAAGCCTCACAGTTGTATTTCAGGACTCAGGGTTTCATTGTCTAAAGAAATTATATTTAACTTTATTCATAGCAGATTTATGGTTGCTTTGATGCTTAAAGTCTTGCAAGGACTTTTACCAATGATCTTTGAAGTTCTGTGCAAAAATCCCTGAACTTATGTAGAAGAAAACTGAAAGCCCTAATATACCCATTTTAGACATTAGATCTTGCAATTATCACTTGCAGTGATGCTACACTGGAAATGGCCTGCTTTAAGTGTGAAGATTTGAAATATTCAGAAGAGAATCATCTCTCTGAACAGCTTTTCTTTTCTTTATTCAATGAAAATTCTTCATCTTGGAACTTAGTCCAACTTTTGAAACTTAACGTGGTGATACCCACCCTGCTTTCTTTCCCTTTGATTATTCCTTTTCCCCAATCCATTTTGTACCAAACTTATATTTCAGTTTTTCTACTACATGTTTATTCATCTTTTTGCCAGTTTTGTAGATAGATAATAGATAAATAGCTAGCTAGCTAACAGGATAAATAAACACAGATACAGCTTCAGGTCCAATTTCTTTGGTAGAATTTATTTGAAAGAACTTAAAATATTACTCTTTCTCAATTAAATCTATACTTTTTAAAATTTAGAAATGAAATTACTATAAACCTTTCTATCCAGCTTCTTAGAATCTCATTTCTTCAATGAGCATTTCTGAGTGCTTACCATTCTGTGAATATTTAAGATGTCTTACCAACTGTAGTGACTGAAAAACTATTATAAATAGGAGTTTATTTTACAAAAAGAAGTCCAGAGATAGTCATGTATAGTTGTTTGAGTTTCAGATTCCTATCAAAGGTCCAGCATTCTTCAGCTTTACACTTTGCCAACCTTAGTATATTAGTTAGCATATGCTAGGCTATGCTGATGTACAAGTAAATTCCAACATCTTAGAATCTTAACACACAAAAAAATGTGGTCAGTACGGATGGTGTAGTCAAGCAGGAAACAAGTTTCCTTACATCTTATCCTTAATATACAGCCAAGATCATCACAGAAGAGGAAAAGACCATGTGGGAAATCACATAAGGAGGTTTTAGGACCAAGAGTGGAAGCATGGTACAACATTTGCACCCATATACCTTTAGTCAGAACCCAATCACCTGGTCTTTCACATCTAATTGGTCACATTATTACTTTGAGCTGAAGGGAATCCAGAAAGTATTCTTCTAGTCAGGGCAAAAAGATATTTGGTAGGTAACTAGCAATATTTACCTCAGGGATATAATACTGAACAATGTATAGTTTCAGCCTTCTATGTGCTTATGTTACAATGTGAGAGAAATGCTACATTGTGAGTGCTGTAGCAGAGATTTCAATAAAATACTATAAGATTTCACAACACAGAGCAGCTCACTCTTTCTAAAGAATTTAAAGGGGGCATCACAGAGAATATAACATTTTAGTTGGATATTAATGAAAGATTTGGAGCGTGTTAGGTAAGAAATGTTGCAAGGTGAAGCCAACTGGACTTCCTGGGTCGAGTGGGGGCTTGGAGAACTTTTCTGTCTAGCTAGAGGATTGTAAATGCACCAATCAGTGCTCTGTGTCTAGCTAAAGGATTGTAAATGCAACAATCAGCACTCTGTAAAAACGCACCTATCAGCGCTCTGTGTCTAGCTAAAGGATTGTAAATGGACCAAACAGCCCTCTGTAAAATGGGCCAATCAGCACTCTGTAAAATGGACCAATCAGCAGGACGTGGGCAGGGCCAAATAAGGGAATAAGAGCTGGCCATCGGAGCCAGCAGCGGCAACCCGCTGGGCTCCCCTTCCACACTGTGGGAGCTTTGTTCTTTCGCTCTTCACAATAAATCTAGCTGCTGCTCACTATTTGAGTCCACACCACTTTTAATAGCTGTAACACTCACTGTGAAGGTCTGCCGCTTCATTCTTGAAGTCAGTGAGACCACGAACCTACCAGAAGGAACAAACTCCGGATGCTCCACCTTTAAGAGCTGTAACACTCACCTGGAGGTTCGCAGCTCCTTGTAGTCAGCAAGACCAAGAACCCACCAGAAGGAACCAATTCCGGACACAATGTGACTGGAAAGGTAGGATGCCATCACATTATAATTGGACTTATGTTATTTGTTAACAAGTTATCTTGGCATTGGAGTGTTACCAGAAAATTTTCAGCAGTGGGGGTCATATAACTGGCTTTGCCATTGAGTAAATGTTGCGGTGGCTGGACTGTATAACCTTACAGCTTGAGAATGTCAAGCTCCGGGAGACTCACATACTCTTTAACTATAGGAAAAGGGTGCTATAGGAAGAGGAAAAGAGGAGTGTGAGGCAGGGAAGCTGAGACCTGTCTTCCCTCTTAGACCTCTAATAATGACAGCCCATTTAGTCCCCTCCAACCCCAAGATGTGTTCATCTAGTATCATATGAAACAGTGTTTGAGATAAGGCTGTTGATGCTCTGGGTTTTGATAATTAAAGCCTAAGAATAGTGTCCTATCTTAAAAGTCAAAGTGAGTCTCCCTGAAACTTTCATTCATTGGTTTTATCTTTCTCAGTGGTTAGTCTTTTTGAAGGTCATGATATCCTTTGGAAATATATTGTACACATACATACGAAAACTCATGTGCAATTTCACAGGCTTGGAAGACTCTCTGGAGTCTTTCCATAGATCCCCAAGTTAAGAACCCTTGGCCTATAGCAACTCTAATAAAGGCCTACTTATACTTTAATTTATAGCCCTTCAAATATTTAAAAACAGCTTTCATATTTTATCTTTTTCAAACAGTGATAAAGCCCTTAGCATGTTCAAATGGCATGTTTGGCAGTTTATTATTAACTCATTTAATCGTCATAGCAACACTGTAAGATAGATACTATTTTTTTTCCCTTTTCCAAATGAGGAAACTGAAGTACAAAAGGGTTAAATAACTTGTCCAATTCACATAGCTACTAAATGGAAGAACCAAGGTTTCAAAATAGACAATCTGGCCCCTGAGCCTATGCACTTAGCACTATACTTAATTGATATTTAACTTGGAAGAGAGAAGTTTAACTTCTTTGACTGTATTTATATTTCATAACCTCCAGGCCCCTCATTCTTCTCTAGACAATGTAGTTTGACAATGTTCCTTTAAAATGTGCTGCCAATTCCAGACACCGTAAATGTACTGGTATAGCATCATACTGGATCAGCCTTTTTTTGATAGCCACAAAGGGGTTATTCATGCTGGGAGAAAAGGACAGGATGAAAGAAGAGGCCTATGGGTCTTCTTCAGCTTCACACTGTTCTGGGTCCTCTGGGCAAGGGTTAGAAACAGCTTTTGGGATGGATATATCTGCAAGACTTTTGTTATGCAATATCCCAGGCAAAGTCATGCATGGATTCTTTTCCTCTCAGAATGAAACCTATCCCAGGCTCCAAGTAATCATCCCCAAGGGAATTAAATAGTCCCTAATTAAGAACAACACTAGTAAATCCTAGCCTGAACCACGAAACAACCATACTCAAGGAATCTACACCCCTCAATGAAGAAAGGCTGTTAATCTATGCTGACACCTTCAGCTTGATTTTATTTTATTGGAAAAATGTTATATGGGTTATTATCTCCTGGTTTACATAATCCTACAGTTCCTCGATGCAATATGAAGTGAGATTCAGAGAAGTTTGAATTTACAATCCTATGCAGCTGGTGGAGCTGGGACTCAAATTCAAGACCACAGAACACCGCACTAGTAGATACATACTTGGAAAATTCGAGTTTGGTGGGGAGTTCCTGGGATGTGATCCATCAAATTGTCTGAAGTGAGGTGTTTGGGAATTTGTACTACAAGTGAATCTAAACTTTAACTAATTTGACTTAAAGGTTCTGTGACCTCTCTTAAGTGGGAGACTCCCTTGCTCTGGTGTACTTTCCCTCCATCTTTGTCCGTTGCTAATAATTTAGCCAGCGACAAGGTATGCTTAAAGATCAACTTTTTTTCCCGCTACAAACATGACTTCAGTCCAAGTATTTAAGCACCTGAACTCAAGTGAGGATAATAAATGTCAGAGGAATATTTATAGCTTGGTATGTGGAGACTTTCCAGGTCCCTGTTCTGCAATAACACAGATCCATCTGCTAAGAGCATTAGAATTGTGTATTGTTACTTCTTTTTTTTCACTCAAGTTGATAGATTCTGAAAATAGAAAATTACAATATACAAATATTTTAACCTTTTTTTACTCAAATAATTATTAAATTAGGAGTTAATTACCAAGGGCAAAGTTTCTCCGCAATTCCTTGCTATTGGAAGCAAGCCCAGAAGAAACCTTAGCTCAGTCTTATATAAGCCCCTGTCATCATTATGCTGACAGATCTACCTGAGGATTTATTGTAGGATTGTCAGACCTTGGGGGTCTGAGGTTAGTCGACTCCCCAGTCTGTCGTTGGGGTTATGATTGTTTTTATTGCTGTACCATAAATATAGTTACCACTGATACTATTGTCAGCTAATGTATTCGTGTTCAAAGATCTGAGGAAGAGAACCTTTACACACAAAGACAGTTTATATGTATTTGTACCAGGAGGTTATTTAACCCTTCTCCTATGATAAGCAAGGGCAAGAAGGACCTCTCTGGTTCTGTTCCATCTTTGTATCCTGACCTAAAGAATTTTCATAGAGCTGACTGATGGTCAGTTAGCTATTAAATAGAAAATTTTATGCATTGTTAAGATTAACACTAGAGTACAAGTCTAGACAACATAATAAAGTGGAATAACAGTGTGTGTCTTCTGTGACTAATGAACATATATTCTCTGCTTCACAAAAGAATAGAGGACAATACTTTAATATGCGAGGCAGTGTGCCTCATGTTAATCGTGGGCATATTCAGAAACAATGTGTAAATCAAATTTTGTACAACACAGTTCCCCTTACAGTGCAATTTCAAGAATATCTTATCAAATGACAGTAACTTCTCTTTTTAATTTTAGTTTTAGTTTTACAAAGATCTCAATTACAGAGAGTTAACCATGCTCATACGGTGACATATCATCATTGGTCTGCACAAGGAACCCCTCTTGTTTATTTATTAACTTATTCCATTTTCATTCCTATTCTTCAGTCCCATTCTCACTTTTACCCTCATATGCTTGATTTTAAACCTTTTATTTCTACATATCCTTTAAGAATGGGAATGATAGTGTACATGCCATTTAATTTGCACTACTGTTATTGTGCTATAGATCTCAGCTTTCTTACCTTTTTCACCAGAAATATGCTTTGAAGGTACAATCTTGTAACTATGCATATATCTAGTTTGTGGTTTCTGACTTCTGCCAGGTACTCAATTGTATGTATCCACCTTGTGTTAATACTCCTCCAGGGATAGATCCCAGACTGTTATCATAATCTTTCTGCCACCACAAACAATGCTATGATAAACAGTGCTTCTATTTGTTCTCTATCCAATAAAGAAAGACTGTAAACTAATATTCAAGTGCATTGATAAAGTCCCTAAGAAAACATATAAAATCTTATTGAAAATTAGGTCATAAGACTTTTAATACGCAAATAATTATCCTTAATCTGCTTGTGGCATGCATTTTGTGTTTGGACTTATATACATTTGACTTCTATAAAGACAAAACATCTATATGAAACAGATTGGGACTTTTTTTTTTAGCCCAGTGGGCTTGATGCTTTGCTCCTTTTCATTTAAAATGTCTCAAGTAATCAGCTTTCTTCTTTGAGAATTTGTATCTCACGCCAATATATGTGATTGCTTGGAAGTCCTAACATTTGGCTTACATTTTCTTCTTCTTAAATTGATCTCAAGAGTGATCTCTTCAGGCCGAATCTCTCCCTAAAGAAATTAAGCAGTATATAACGTTAGCTAAAATGGCAAATTCACAACAAGAACTCCAACTATTTGGGTTCAGGAATAGACAATAGTAGGTGAAGGTAAAACAGCTGTGCAGATGTCCTCATATCTACAAACTAGGGCTAAAAATTTATTATAGGTCCTCAGCAAAAAGTAATGCTGATTCTATTCATTTTTTTGTGCTAAAGGTAAAATAAAGCCTAGGAGTAGATTGATAAAATAGCCATGTGTTGGAGAAATGCAATACTTAAATTAGCCAATGTTTACTGACTATTTATTACAGTTGAGGCACTGTAATAAGCAATGGGATAGAAGGAAATAGTATGCAAAAATTTTTAAAGTTATAATTGTAAGATTACAGTGTATAGCAGGAGTTACATGATGTTAACTAATGGGACAAAATACAGTTGCAGAAATCCATCAATTTGATTCAATATATATTAATTTTCAGTCAAGTACTAGGTGCTTGTATTAGGTCCTCATCAAACAAACACAAATGATATCAATACTAACCTTCACAATCTTCAAGAGGCAGAAAAACAAAAAAGTAAATGCGATTAAATATTATGGAAGCTATGATGTAAGGAATGCAGATGGAGAACCAAAGTCAGTGCTACCTTCTAGAAAGGTAATGTGAAAACTTTATGTAGAAGATGGCATGCAAACTGAGTCCTGAAGTTTTTGAGGGTTCAGAAGGAAAGAATTTCTGTAAAGGGAGAAAGAGGTCCTGAAGTGAAAGACAGTCTGATAATTAGGGAAGCAGTAACTAATACAGTAGAACCATCTGAGTTCAAATTCTGACTTTATCATTTACTAGCCTATTATGGCTCAGTTTCCTCATCCATAAAATGGGTAAAATAGGAGTTCCTTCCCCATGGAGTTAATTTGGGATTCACAGGAGATAACACATGTAAAATGATATATACCATGCCTGGAATATACTATAAGTGCTCAATAAATATTAGTATACTTACAATAATGACAAATAATGTGCTAGAGTTGGTGAGTTGGTGAGGGGGTGAAGGGAAGGGAAAAGGAGTGAAAAATAAGTCTGAAAAAATAGAAACTAGATCATGCAGGACCTGATATGCATACTTTGGACTTTTTTTTATACTTTAAGTTTCAGGGTACATGTGCACAATGTGCAGGTTAGTTACATGTGTATACATGTGCCATGCTGGTGTGCTGCATCCATTAACTCGTCGTTTAGCATTAGGTATATCTCCTAATGCTATCCCTCCCCCCTCCCCCCACCCCACAACAGTCCCTGGTATGTAATGTTCCCCTTCTTGTGTACGTGTGTTCTCATTGTTCAATTCCCATCTATGAGTGAGAACATGTGTTTGATTTTTTGTCCTTGCGATAGTTTACTGAGAATGATGATTTCTAGTTTCATCCATGTCCCTACAAAGGACATGAACTCATCATTTTCTATGGCTGCATAGTATTCCATGGTGTATATGTGCCACATTTTCTTAATCCGGTCTATCATTGTTGGACATTTGGGTTGGTTCCAAGTCTTTGCTATTGTGAATAGTGCCACAATAAACATACGTGTGCATGTGTCTTTATAGCAGCATGATTTATAATCCTTTGGGTATATATCCAGTAATGGGATGGCAGGGTCAAATGGTATTTCTAGCTCTAGATCCCTGAGGAATCGCCACACTGACTTCCACAATGGTTGAACTAGTTTACAGTCCCACCAACAGTGTAAAAGTGTTCCTATTTCTCCACATCCTCTCCAGCACCTGTTGTTTCCTGACTTTTTAATGATTGCCATTCTAACTGATGTGAGATGGTATCTCATTGTGGTTTTGATTTGCATTTCTCTGATGGCCAGTGATGATGAGCATTTTTTCATGTGTCTTTTGGCTGCATAAATGTCTTCTTTTGAGAATTGTCTGTTCATATTTTTTGCCCACTTTTTGATGGGGTTGTTTGTTTTTTTCTTGTAAATTTGTTTGAATTCATGGTAGATTCTGGATATTAGCCCTTTGTCAGATGAGTAGGTTGTGAAAATTTTCTCCCATTTTGTAGGTTGCCTGTTCACTCTGATGGTAGTTTCTTTTGCTGTGCAGAAGCTCTTTAGTTTAATTAGATCCCATTTGTCAACTTTGGCTTTTGTTGCCATTGCTTTTGGTGTTTTAGACATGAAGTCTTTGCCCATGCCTATGTCTTTAATGGTATTGCCTAGGTTTTCTTCTAGGGTTTTTATGGTTTTAGGTCTAACTTTTAATTCTTTAATCCATCTTGAATTAATTTTTGTCTAAGGTGTAAGGAAGGGATCCAGTTTCAGCTTTCTACATATGGCTAGCCAGTTTTCCTAGCACCATTTATTAAATAGGGAATCATTTCCCCATTGCTTGTTTTTCTCAGGTTTGTCAAAGATCAGATAGTTGTAGATATGTGGCGTTATTTCTGAGGGCAAGTTCTGGCCAGGGCTATTAGGCAGGAGAAGGAAATAAAGGGCATTCAATTAGGAAAAGAGGAAGTCAAATTGTCCCTGTTTGCAGATGACATGAGTGTATATCTAGAAAACCCCATTGTCTCAGCCCAAAATCTCCTTAAACTGATAAGCAACTTCAGCAAAGTCTCAGGATACAAAATCAATGTACAAAAATCACAAGCATTCTTATACACCAATAATAGACATAGAGCCAAATCATGAGTGAACTCCCATTCACAATTGCTTCAAAGAGAATAAAATACTTAGGAATCCAGCTTACAAGGGACATGAAGGACCTCTTCAAGGAGAACTACAAACCACTGCTCAATGAAATAAAAGAGGATACAAACAAATGGAAGAACATTCCATGTTCATGGGTAGGAAGAATCAATATCGTGAAAATGGCCATACTGCCCAGGGTAATTTATAGATTCAATGCCATCCCCATCAAGCTACCAATGACTTTTTTCACAGAATTGGAAAAAACTACTTTAAAGTTCATATGGAACCAAAAAAGAGCCCGCATGGCCAAGTCAATCCTAAGCCAAAAGAACAAAGCTGGAGGCATCACACTACCTGACTTCAAACTATACTACAAGGCTACAGTAACCAAAACAGCATGGTACTTGTACCAAAACAGAGATATAGATCAATGGAACAGAACATACTTTGGACTTTAACATTTCTTGGTTAGGCAATTGGAAGTTGGGAAGAGTTTTACGCAAGGAAGAAAAGGAAGGCACTTGATAAGATTTGTTTTTTTACAGAAAGAGTAATCAAGCCTTAGTAAGGAGGATGGATTAGAAGAGACAGGGAAATGAACTAGATGACTACTGCAGTGGTCCAGGCTAACAATGAGCTAAGGCATAAAAGTAAAAATAATTAGAAATTTAAAGGGTGATTCTGAGACATATACCGTATTTATTTGATTTCATGTGGAAAATAAGGACTCTTGAATGACTCCCATTTCTATTAATAATTTTATACCTATCTTTTTTTACATATCTTATAAACAGATGACATAAACTTACAGTATCCATAAATATAGTACAGTACTCAGTATATTTTCTCTCTCATTAGTTTCTTAAAAACATTTTCTTTAGCTTGATTTGTTGAAAATATGGCATACAATGTATATACAATATATGTATTAATCAACTGTTTATGTTATCAGTAAGGCTACTAGTAAAGTTTTGGGGGAGTTAAAAGTTATACATGGATTTTCTACTACAAAGGAGGTTGATGCCACTCACTCCCATGTTGCTCAAGGATCAACTGTACTAAGTTTTTCCCCTTGTTGTACTTCTTTGTATTCTTCTGTGATTTCTTTTTTCTATTCAACATTATATTTGTGAATTTTACCCATGTTGAAATTAGCCATATGTGCTTTATCTTAATTTTTATTCTCCAGTCTTGACAGAGATGCATCTTCTTTATTGGTTTTCTCAAAGAAACATTTACCATTATTAATTAATATGTTTTCATTAATTAATATGTCTTCATACATCTCCATATGTCTTATTTATTTTTTCATCATTATTTACATTTTAATCTTTCTTTGTGTTTGCTCTGTTGTTCCTTGTCTAACTTATTTGTTTTCTCAATGTTTTGTTGTTGTAGCTCAGAGAGGCAGTAGATGTTTCTCCTTTTATTTATTTCTCTTACAGCTTGATCTATTTTTTGGTTATATTATTATATTTACTCAGTGATATAGTTTGGCTGTGTCCCCACCCAAATCTCATCCTGAATTTCCACATGTTGTGGGAGGAACCTGGTGGGAGGTAATTGAATCATGGGGGCAGGTCTTTCCTGTGCTATTCTCTTGATAGTGAATAAGTCTCATGAGACCTGATGGTTTTCAAAAGAGGAGTTCCCCTGCACAAGCTCTCTTTCAGCCTGCAGCCATCCATGTAAGACATGACTTGCTCCTCCTTGCCTTCCGCCATGATTGTGAGGCCTTCCCAGCCATGTGGAACTGTAAGTCCATTAAATCTTTTTTTTGTAAATTGCCCAGTCTTGGGTATGTATTTATCAGCAGCATGAAAATGGACTAAGACAGCCAATTTGAAATGTTTGTATCTTCCATTAGTTTTTTTGAACGGACCTTTTTAACGTGAACCTCCTAGCATTTTGAAGGCACTCTCTTTATGTGTAATAATATTTTTGCCTTAAAATCTGTTTTGTTTGATATTATAATAATATAGCTATGCCAGACTATTGAAATTAGTATTTATCCTATAGTTTTTTAATCATAATTTTACTCTCAACATTTTTTTCTCTATATACTTTAGTGAGTCTGCTTTAAAAAAGCATATAGATGAATTTTGTTATTTTTGTTTTAACTAAAGATTTTAGCTATTACCATTTATTTTGACATATGTAACTTTATTTTATCAAATCATTCTGTGCTCTTTATTTCTTTTTTAATGTTTTATGCTTTACTCCTGTGTTCATGGGGTTTTTTTTAGCTTAAACTTTGTTTTTTAATTCTAGTCTCCCTCTGTTTTTGTTTGGAAATTATTTACTTTTTCTATTATATTAGAGGTTATTCTTGAAATTTGAACATACGGACTAAACTTATCAAAGTAAAAAATTCATCAGTATACTTACCTCCTCCCCAAGCAACATAAATGCCATAGTACAATTTAATCACTGGAAAACAGTATTTTAGTCCTATCTTGTGTTTTAGCCTTCATATTATAATTTTCATTTTTTAGTTTTTTATGTGTTTGTTATTTACTTGTATTTATGCATGTTTAGCAATTTTTTCATCAGTTTCTTGTTATATCTCAGACATTAGACTTGTGATCATCTTTCTTCTTCATGAATAACAACCTTTAAAGGTTCCTTTACTGGTAAGTGCTCTCACTTATTTGTTATTTGAAAAATGTCTTTATTGTTTGCTCTTCTTAAAAGATGGTTTCTGGGAATATTTTTCCAGGTTAGTAGTTATTTCACCTTTCTAGATATTGTCCCATAGTCCCTTAAATTCCACTGTTCCTCTTAGGAAGTCATTCTTAGGCCTAGTTGTCATTGCCTTATAAGAAACCTGTTTTCCTATCTGGTACTTTAAGATCATCTGTTTGTCTGTGCGCTGCTGCATCACTGTGATATATCTAGGAATTGATGTTCTGATAAATCCTTTTTGTAATATGTTGTGCTTTTTCCAACTAAAGAACCATAACTGCCATTAATTCTGAAAAAATAAAGATTCCAATCCAAAAATAGAGTATATCCATCTGTTAAATTTCCTTTGATTCCTCTCAAAAATATTTTATAGTTTTCAATATTCTTTCACATGTTTTATTAAATATAGTCCTTATTTAAATTTTTGATATTACCATCATTTTCCAACTGCTTTTTGCTAGTATTATACATGGACATATAAATTGAGTTTTAAATATTGCCCTTGGATCCAGCAACCTTATCAAACTCATTTATTCTAATAATTTACATATAGATTCCTCTGGATTTTCTAAGTACAGAAGCATATCATCTACAAATAACAGTGTGATTTATTCTTTTAAAATATAGGTGCATACAGAAGCCCATGTGCCATCAGCAAATTGCTAGAATCTCTTCTTCCTCTGCACAGTAGGGTGTGAATAATACTTTATCTATGCCACGGTATCCAATCTTTTGGCTTCCCTGAGTAATATTGGAAGAAGAAAAATTGTCTTGGGCCATGCATAAAATACACTAACGACAGCTGATGAGCTAAAAAAAGCACTGCAAAAAAAAATCTCATAATGTTTTAAGAAAGTTTATGAATTTGTGCTGGCCACATTCAAAGCCATCCTGGGCCACATGTGGTCCACAGGCCACAGGTTGGACAAGCTTGCTCTATAGGTTCAAATAGCCTGATCTCTTTCATGAATCACAAGATTAGTAATAATGATCACTATTTATTTTTCAGATTGCTGATTTTTCTTCTCAAGTATTTAGTTCAATAGCTCATTGAATTTTGGTAAGAATTTCCAAAATCTCTTCTTAAAAGATAGTTTTCTGTTTTTAAGATAGACACATAGATAAGACAGGATTCATACCATGTACATTTCAACCTCAAATGGATTTGTCTAGAAATTCATTAGCAGAGATTTTTATATAAAATATTCCTCTCACATGTAACCACAAAGTTGCTATTGGCAATACTGATATGTGAATACACATTGGTCCCTGTAAACCACACAGCACATTGATCATTTCTTATACTCTACATGCTCATATACCAGGTTGATTACTGAGAAAGGTGATAAAGGAATGAGGTGAGGGACATTCTTTGAAAGTAAAAAATTATCTTGTTGAATTTAGGCCTATGTAAAACTTTATAAATTCAATTTCCCTAGTTTTGTTTGGGTAAGGCTTAAATTTGATAAAATTTCCTAATTTGAGTCAGATTCTAGTAAAGAACTTTTTAAGCTAGGGAAAAGGCAGAGAACTGGGATTAAACCCAGATTAGAGGATACATGGTTTTAAATGGTGATAGTTCCTTTAGGCAAGACACCACACATGTATATGTGTTGGGAAAACATCAACATTCTTACCTCAGGACTTTTGCATGAAGTTTTCCCTCTGCTTGAAAAGTGTTTATTCTCCGCTCTCCATCTGAACAATATCACTTATTGCTCAAGTCTCAAATTTGCTTCCTTAAGCCCTTTATAACCAATGTGTCCCAATTTAAATTTCACCTTCCCCATGTCATCCTATTATATTCGAGGATTTTTATTAGAAATTTTCATTCCATATGTGTGTGTGTTTACAAGTGGTTTTCAAACTTCACTATGTTTAAAAACCACTTGGGAAGCTCATTAAAAAGTAGATTTTTGCACCTAACTTCAGATATTTCTCCTGAGTAAATCTAATTGGGAATCAAGAAATATGCAATTTTAGCTAGACTCCCCAAGTAATCCTAATATAGATGACCATAGGAACACACTTTGAGATGTCCTCCATGAGGACAGCAACTATGTTTGTTTATTTCTGCATCCCCAGCATCTAGCAGAGTGTTCAACGAACATTAGTTGCACTGGAAACATTAGGACCAAAAACACTCAACAAACTCTGGCAAGTGAGCCAATAGGCTAATGCTGCTTTAGGATTAGGGCTGCCTTCAGACCCAGGGAAACCATCAATTTTTAAATGGTGGATAGAAGAAGTTTTAAAAGGAGAGATGAAAGTGTTTAGGGGAAAGGGGGGAAAAGCTCACTTTTGCAGCCTTGGCCAGGAGTCAAAGTTGATGAGCTGTCAGCAGCCAGTCTCTATTGTGATGAGTCAAAGACTGTATACATAACTCCCCCAGGGTATCCAGTTCAGAATTTCAGCTGGATAAGGGCATTATCTTCCTTTCATCGCAGGGCTGCTTTCAACACATCAGGAAACACCATGTCACTCCTTGACAGAGGCTGGCAATTTAAACTAGAGAGATAATCTGAAGCCCTTAAAACTGGCTGATATTTTCATTTGCGATTCCTCATGGCAGCACTCCGCAGCCCCCACTTTTTCTGTTTTGTACCCTGCAGTGAGGCTTGGCAGCTAGATCTATATTTTAGGGCAGGGTTGATGGTGAAGTGCTACAAGGAAACTGTAATGCCAGCTTTTCTGGAATCTGATATCAGCACTTTGGGACAACGATACATAAGGAAATAGTATTATGGGGACTTAAAAAAAAAAAAAACAGAAATGGACCAGAAGGACGTGAGACCTAAGGCCTGAGATTAACCTCCAGAGCTATAGATAAGCAAGAGCGGACCTCGTTTGCTGTTTTAGAGTATAGAAAAATTATTTATGGTCTGTCTATTTACCTATGTCTTTCAAGCATAAGTTTAAGTTTAGTATGGTGACTCTAAGGGAAGGTGAAAATCTCAACAAAATCAATAACTCAGGACATCAGTTACTGAGAGAAAATTATCTCAATACGAAATGGTAAGAATGGATCTGGAAAGAAAACCAATTATTGTATGGCAGTCAACTTAGCTGTTTGAGTTCTGTCTGTACCTTCAGGGAAACAAATTTTGCTGATGTCTGCTTACCTGTCATTCTGTCTTCTTATAAACTTGTCTTTAGATGTTCCTTTTTACATATTTGGCATATAGACAATCTCTGATGAGGCAAAATTATCTCTAATGGGTTCTTCTTGGGTAAGATCTCTGGCCTCTTTCAATCTTTCATCTTCTTTGAACAGTAAATCCCTTCACTCTTCAGATAGCTATCAAAATCAGATTGACATAAACAGTAATATTTGCCAAGAAGCATGGCAGCCCTGCTTAGAAAAACCCAGGGTGCCTGGAAAATACTTGGCTGCAAAATTTTGTGGTGAGAAATGTGGCACCAAAGATCAGAGGGAATACACCTCCCTCTGGCTGTTAGTTTGCACTCAAGTGCTATGCTGAGAGTGACCAGAGGCCAAAGCCAAAGCAAAGCCTCCTTAATCTGTGCATCTACTAATATATTTCCCATCTGGCAAGAAGATTGTCCTCTTCTGTTTTCAGTTACTCCTCGTTAAAATTTCAAACAGCATTTTTATTTCTGTGGTTCCAGATTCTAATCAGACTTCTGCCAATCTCTAAAAGGCTGTGCATCTCCTGTTGCTGGTATGTTTTCTTGACTTTATCTGAATTACATGAGTTATGGCCATGCTGACATTTCTCCTCTAATCTGACTTTAATCATAATAAATACAATTTTCAGATGGTGTTGTTTCCCCTACCCTCTTTATTCCAATATGACACTCTTAACTATGAAAGAAGGGGAGCTACTGAAGACTCTTAGGTCCCTGCAGAAACATATTTCATCAGAGTCTTTAAGACCTGGTAATTTTCATTTTGTGCAAACAGAATTTCACTTCCAGCTATGTCAGAATAATTATTAATAGTACCAGACTATTTCTCCACTATAAATAGCTATAAAAAATGGGCAAAACACATGAAACAATGTTTAAGTATTGGAAAACATACAGTGCAGGATTGTGATTCCTGAAAGAAAGGACATAATTGTGGCAAGAGTACCAAATCACACCAGCTTTGTGCCCATAATCATTTGCCACATGATGTCCCTGGAAAAGAGCTCCCAAGTTGAGCAAATAGATCTTTTTGAAGTTAGGAAACAGAGATAAGAATTCAGTGCTTCTGACACAGATGAAATGTGCAAAGCAGAATTTTTGAGAGGAGCATGCCTCTCCAGTTATTTAAATGGAAATTTTAAAACTGAAAAACATGATTTTTAAATTTTTAAAATTCAGCAGATGGGCTTAAAAGCAAAATGAAGCTAGGGAGCCAATGAATTAAAGATAGACGAGAAGAATTATAAATTTTAAAGAGAGCAAAAAGAATTGAAAGAAGGTGAATAGTACTTCAACAACATATGGGGCAATATACATGTAACTAGAGTCCAGGAATAAAAGGAAAAAGTGAATAGCATAGAAAAAAAATTAAAATAATGCTGAAAATGTTCTCAGTTTGATGGAAGATATAAATTTACAAATTCAAGAATCTCAAAAACCGCAAGCAGGCTAAGTGCAAAGAAAATTAGGTCTAAGAATGTCAAGCTGATGAAATTAAAGATAAAGACAGATAGAGAAAAATGACTCACTACATAAACAGGGAAATGACACAAATGATAGCTAATTCTTCATCAAAAACTATGCAAGATAACACAATAACATCTTTAAAATGCTGGGGGAAAATCCTCAGCCAAAAATTCTATAACCACTAAAAATAAAATAAAGATAAAAACAGAGAAAAATGACTCACTACATAAAGAGGGAAATGACACAAATGACAGCTAATTCTTCATCAAAAACTATGCAAGATAATACAGTAATATCTTTAAAATGCTGGGGGACAATCCTCAGCCAAAAATTCTATAACCACTAAAAATACTGAATAAAGGTAAAATAAAGACACTTAAAAGACAATTGAGATTATTCATTGCCAGTAGAACGGCAATATGAGAAATGCTAGGGAAGTTTTTCAGGCTGAAAGAAAACAACATAGATAAAAATTTGTATCTTCAGAAGAGAAATAAAGGATCAGATATGGGAAATACCTAGTTAAATGTAAACTTTTTTGGTTTAATTATCTTTTTTTAATTTTTTTATTATACTTTAAGTTTTAGGGTGACACATGTATACATATGGTTTAATTATCTTTAAAATAGGTAGTTTAAAACAAAAATTACACCATTTCCTGTGGAATTTATAACCTATTTAGATGTAAAACATAACTCTGGCATAAGGGATGTAGGGAGGAGTAAATGGAGTCATAGTGTCGCAAGGTTTTCACATTTAATGTAAGCAGTCTAACATTAATGCAAATAAATAATTAAAAGTTAAGAATGTATACTGAAATTCTTAGCATGAGCAATAAAAAATTAGTATAAACAGTATAGCTAAAAAGGCAATAGACAAAGTAAAATGAAATTCTGAAAACTATCCAAATAAGTCAAAAATAAGTGGAAAAAATATTTTAAAAGAACCAAAAAAGGAGAAGCTAAAGAATAATCAAATAATAAAATAGTAGAGCTAAATAGAACCGTAACAACAATTAAAAGGCAGAGATTGCCAGAATAGATAAAGAATCAAGACCCAATTACATGCTATCTACAAAAGATGCACTATAAATATAAAAAAATTATACTGATAAGATGAAAATAAACAGATGAATCTAGGACTTCCATTTTAGCTCTGGCATGTAAAGAACTTGGAAGTCATCAATCCCATCCTTAGAACAAGACAGCTTGAAAAATTAAGAATCAACAGCTCCTCTTGGGCCCATCAAGGAAATAAGCTTGCAAGGCAAACTATCACCTCAATATCTGGAGAGACAGGCAAATCCATCGGGACACAGCCAAGATCTAGTTACCTAGAGCAGAAGCTACTGAAGGCAAAACTGGTAAAAACAAATAATAATTATGACAATTTGATGGAGGCCAAAAGTGGGTTAGCCTGAGAGTGCCGATCCCGTGGGAACTACACATTTGGCAAGCTTTATCTTGAGGAACCCCATGCCATTCTCACAATGAAGATGCAAGAAAGCTTAGCTCCTGGTTCTAGCAGGTGAAGGGGAAAAGTAATCATTGTGAAATATATCCAGTGCATACTTCATAACAAAGTTCTACTCTCCTTTCCTGGGGAAAGATTTTGCCAGAGTCATATTCCAGCTAGGAGAAGGACATCCTTCCCACTGCAACCACTTCTAGACTTCTTGTCTGACCTAACAAAAACAACATAGTCAACAGAGGTCAGGGCTTCAAGGAAATGACTTAGAACACTTTAGACAGGGAACGGAATATAAGGTGAGCGAAGGGGTGGGCAAAAAAAGATGTACCATTAGATAAACACATGTGAAGGTTACAGCTCTGAGAGAGGCCCATTAAAACAGATTTAGCCAGACACAGTTGTGCATGCCTGTGGTCCCCCAGCTACTCGGCATGCTTAGGTGGAAGGATGGCTTGAGCCTAGGAGTTCAAGGTGAGCCTAGGCAACATAGCAAGATGCTGTCTCAAAAAAAGAAAAGGAAAGAAAAGAAAAAACCCTGAGATTTAATGAGAAGATTATAAAACAGTCCTCCTCCACATCTTACTACCACACCAACAGTATTTAACAGTGAATTACAGGTGAAAGAGCTACAAGACAGACTCTAAGGAGAAATACTTAGGGAAGCTCAAAGTCAAGAGGGGAAACAAATATAATATAAGGACACTAGAGGAATTAGAAGCTTCTGGCACCTATAGCTATAGCAAATGTTAACTACAGCCCAACTGGAGTCAGATTACCATAAATCCTCACACTGAAGGCCTAGTTAATTTAGTTCTTATTAGCCAATACATGTCCAACTTTCAACTAAAAATTTACAAGACATGCCAGAATGCAAGAACAAACACAGTGTGAAGAGAAAAAGCATCGGAACCAGACACAGCTATGACATCAATGTTGGAATTATCAGGGAGTTAATGTAATTGAAATAATAAGGGCTTTGCTGGAAAAAGGCAATATGCAATAACAGATAGGTAATGTTAGCAGAGAGATGAAAACTCCAAGCAAGTAAATGGATGGGAAGAGATAGACCATGCAAATGCACATAGTAAGCATAAGAAGGCTGAGACAGTATATTAATATCAGATAAAAATAGCCATCAAGACAAACAGTAGTACCAGAGATAAAAATAAATATTTCATAATGATCAAAGGGTGAATTCAAGAACATAGTAATCATAAATGTGTACACAGCTAATAGGGTTTCAGAATACATGAAAAATTTGACAGAATAGAAAGGAGCAATAGTCAATTTCATATGCATAGTTAATAATATTAACACTTCTCTCCCAACAATGTATAGATTAAAAGATAAATAATTAATAAACATATTGATGATCCCAGTGACACTACTAATTATCTTAATCTAACTGATATTTATAAAAGACTGCTCTCAACTATGGAATATAAATGTTGAATTGCATGTAGCATATATATCAAGATAGATTATATATTGTGACCTAAAATAAGTCTCAATAAGTTTAAAAGGATTGAAATAATACAGAATATGTTCTCTGACCACAATGGAATTGAATTAGAAAGCAATTAACAATAAGATCTCTAGTAAAATACAAAATATTTGAGAACTGGTATCAATTCTATTGAAACTATTCAAAGAATTCAAAATGGGACTCCTCCCTAACTTATTTTATGAAGCCAGCATCACCCTGATACCAAAACGTGGCAAAGACACAATGGAAAAAGAAAACTACAGGCCAATATCCCTGATGAACATAGACACAAAAATCCTCAACAAAATACTAGCAAACCATTTCCAGCAGGACATCAAAAAGTTAATTCACAATGATCAAGTAGGCTTCATTCTTGGGATGCAAGGTTGGTTCAGCATACACAAATCAATAAATGTGATTTACCACATAAACAGAATTAAAAACAAAAATGATATGATCATGTCAATAGACATGAAAAAAGTCTTCGATAAAATCCAAAATCCCTTCTTGATAAAAACCATTAACAAACTAGGCATCTAAGAAAAATATGTCAAAATAATAAGAACCATCTATGACAAACCCACAGCCTAAATCATACTGAATAGGCAAAAGCTGGAAGCATTCCCCTTGAGAACTAGAATAAAACAAGGATGCCCGCTCTCGCCTCCTTTTCAAGTTAGTACTGGAAGTCCTAGCCACAGCAATCAGGCAAGAGAAAGAAATGAAAGGCATCCAAATTGAGAGTGAAGTCAAACATCTCTCTTCAATGAAGATATGATTCTATACCTAGAAAGCCCTAAAGACTCCTCCAGAAGGCTCCTGGAACTAATAAACAACTTCAGCAAAGTTTCAAATCAGTGTACAAAAATTAGTAGCATTTCTACACAGGGATAGTGTTCAAACTGAGAGCCAAATCAAGAATGTAATCCTATTTACAATAGCCACAAAAAAATTAAATACCTAGGAATACATCTAACCAAAGAAGCAAAAGATCTCTACAAGGAAAACTATAAAACACTGCTGAAAGAAATCATAGTTGACACAAACAAATTGAAAAACATTTCATGCTCATGGATTGGAAGAATCAATATTATTAAAATGGCTGTAATTTCCAAAGCAATCTGTAGCTTCAACACTATTCCTATCAAACTACCAAGATTATGTTTCACAGAATTAGGAAAATACTATTCTAAAAATTCATATAGAACCAAAAGAGAGCCCAAATAGCCAAAGCAATACTAACTAAGCAAAAAGAACAAAGCCAGATGTATCACATTACCCAACTTCAAACCATACCAAAAAACTACAGTAACCAAACCGGCATGTTACGGGTACAAAACCAGACACACAGACCCATGGAACGGAATAGAGAACCCAGAAATAAAGCTACACACCTGCAGCCATCTGATATTCGACAAAGTTGACAAAAATAAGCAATAGGGAAAGGAACCCCTATTCAATAAACGGTGCTGGGACGACTGGTTAGCCATATGCAGAAAATTGAAACTGGACTTCTCTCTTTTACCATATACAAAAATTAACTTGAGCTAGATTAAAAACTTTAGTAAGACCTCTAACTGTAAGAATACTAGAAGAAAACGTGGGAAATACCATTCTAGACATCAGCCTTTGGAAGGGATTTGTGAGTCCTCAGAAGCACCTGCAACAAAAGCAAAAATTGACAAGTGGGACCTAATTAAACTAAAGAGCTTCTGTACAGCAATAGAAACTATCCACAGAGTAAACAGGCAGACTACAGAATGGGAGAAAATGTTTGCAAACTATGCATCCAGCAAAGGCCTAACGTCCAGAAACTGTAAGAACTTAAAGAACTCAACTAGCAAAAATAAGTCACACTACTGAAAAATGGGCAAAATATGTAAAGATACTGGTCAAAAGAAGACATACAAGTGGCCAATGAACATATGAAAAAATGCTCAACATTACTAATCATCAGAGAAATGCAAATTAAAACCATAATGAGATACTGTCTCACACCAGTCAGAATGGCTATTATTAAAAAGTGAAAAAACTGATGCTAGTGAGGCTGCAGAGAAAAGGGAACACTTATATTCTGTGGGTGGGAATATAAATTAGTTCAGCTACTGTAGAAAGCAGTTTGGAGCTTTTTCAAAGAACTTAAAGCAGAACTACCATTTGACTCAGCAATCCCATTACTGAGTATATATACAAAAGAAAATAAACCATTTTACCAAAAAGACATGTGTGTTTGTATGTTAATTGTAGCACTATTCACCATATCAAAGACATGGAATCAACCTAGGTGCCCATCAACAGTGGGTTGAATGAAGAAAATGTGGTACATATACACCATGGAATATTATGCAGCCATAAAAAAGAATAAAATCCCGTGCTTTGCAGCAACATGGATAGAGCTGGAAGCCATAATCCTAAGCAAATTAATACAGAAACAGAAAACCAAATACCACATGTTCTCACTTATAAGTGGGAGCTAAACATTGAGTACCCCTGGATGTAAACATGGGAACAACAGACACTGGGGACTATAAGAGGATGAGGAGGGGGTGGGTTTTAAAAAGTACCCATTGGGTACTATGCCCACTATCTGGGTGACAGGATACATACCCCAAACTTCAGCATCATGCAGTATTCCTATGTGACACATCTGCACATGTACCCTGTGAATCTAATATAAAAGTTGAAATTATCTTTTAAAAATTGGAAATAACACACTTCTGAATGACTTAGGGGTCATAAAAGAAATCATAGAAAAGTAGAAAATAATTGAAACTAAATAATGGAAAATACAACATACTAAAATTTGTAGGGTGTAGCTAAAACAGTTCCTAATGGGAAATGTATGTCTTTAAATATTATATTTAAAAGGAAAAGCATAAAATAAATGGTCCTAGCTTCCACTCAATCATCCATAAAAAAGTGCAAAAGTAACCAAAATGAAAAATGAAATACAATAATGATTTGATAATGAATAAAATAAAATTTTGATTCTATTTTCAACCAAATGGAAAACAAATACATGAAAATTGACAGTCAGAAGTTGGCTCTTTAAAGTGATCAACAAGAGTGAAAATCCCTAGGTAGACTAGGGGAAAAAATGGGAAGAAAGAAAAAAGAATGGGAGAAAGCACAAATTACCACTATTAGGAATAAAAGACAGATTATCACTACAAATTCTACACACAAAGAGTATAATAGAGAACATTATGAAAAACTTATGTCAATAGAGAACATTATGAAAAACATGTCAATAAATATATTTAAAATAAAAAGGAAAAATTTCTTGAAAAGAATTTAACTTACCAAAACAGACACAAGACTTAGTCAGAATAGCTCTATATCTATTAAAGAACAATTTATTACCAAAAAACCTTCCCACAGAGAAAACTCTAGGTCCAATTATTTTATTAATAAATTCTATATTTAAGGAGCAGATGGAACCAATCTTACAAAAACCCTTTCAGAATTAAGAATAAACATTCCGACTTGTTTTATAAAGCCAGCATAACCCTAATATTAAAAGTTGACAGGCCGGGGGCGGTGGCTTACAAGGTCAGGAGATCGAGACCCTCAGGGATCCCAGCACTTTGGGAGGCCGAGGCAGGCGGATCACGAGGTCAGGAGATTGAGACCATCCTGGCTAACACGGTGAAACCCTGTCTTTACTAAAAATACAGAAAATTAGCCGGGTGTGTTGGTGGGCACCTGTAGTCACAGCTACTTGGGAGGCTGAGGCAGGAGAATGGCATGAACCCGGGAGGCGGAGCTTGCAGTGAGCCGAGATCGTGCCACTGCACTCCAGCCTGGATGACAGAGCGAGACTCCCTCAAAAAAAAAAAAAAAAAAAAAAAAAAAAAGTTGAATGGCTGCATACGGTGGCTCATACCTGTAATCTCAGCACTTTGGGAGGCTGAGGCAATAGGATTGCTTGAGTTCAACACCAGCCTGGGCAACATAGCAATACCTCTATCTCTACTAAAAATAAAAAAATTTAGCCTGGCATGGTGGCACATGCCTGTACTCCCAGATACTCAGGAGGCCAAAGTGAAAAGATTGCTTGAGCCCAAGAGTTCAAGGCTGCAGTGAGCAATGATGGTGCCACTACTCTCCAACCTGGATGACACAGCAAGACCCTGTTTCAAAAAAAGTTACAATGATTCTACAAAAAATAGAAATGGCTCTTATGAATATAGGTATAAAAATACTAAAGTCATAGCAAAGTGAATATAGCAAGATGTAAAAATGAGAATATTTTATTAATTACCAAGTGAGGTTTATCCCAGAAATGCAACATTTGAAAATCAATGTAACTCATCGTGTTAATAGAATAAAAAATAAAAAAGATAGATCATTTCAAAGGATGCAGAAAAAGCACTTAAAGTAACAGGATGCAAGGTTATTTACAAAACCAATTGTATTTTTACATACCAGCAATAAATAATTGAAATTATAATTTAATAAAGATCTCTTTTAATAGTGCCAAAGACCATAAAACACTAAAAGAGAAAAAAGTTTAATGAAAGATATTCAAGGCCTATGCATAGGAAGTTAAAACACATTTCTCTGAGAAATTTTTTAAAAGCTAAGTAAATGGAGGGCTAATTATCCCCTAATTGATACATGGATTCAATGCAATCCCAAATAAAATCTCCATACCCTTTTTGTAGAATTCGATAAGCTGATTTTAAAATTTATGTGAGAAAGCAAACAATCTATGCAAAGCACCCTTGCAAAAGAAAAACAAGCTTGCAGGATAAAGCACGACTTAACTTCAAGACATATAATGCTAGAATAATCAAGACAGTATTTTATTAGTATAAAGACTGACCAATAAATGAATTGAAAGGAATAAAAATCCCAGAAATAGGCCCATACTTGTGTGGTCATTTGATTTTTGTCAAAAGAGGCTATGTAATCCAATGAGGAAAGCAAATTATATTCAATAAATAATGTTCAGGCTGGGCATGGTGGCTCACGCCTGTAATCCCAAATGTTTGGGAGGCCAAGGCGGGTGGATCACATGAGGTCAGGAGTTCAAGACCAGCCTGGCCAACATAGTGAAACCCGGTCTGCACTAAAGAAAAAATAAAAAGAAAGAAAAAAAAAATAGCTGGTGTCGTGGCAGGCACCTTGTAATTCCAGCTACTCAGGAGGCTGAGGCAGGACAATTGCTTGAACCCAGTAGATGGAGGTTGCAGTGAGCCGAGTTGTGCACCACTGCACTCCAGCCTGGGCGACAGAGTCAGATTCTGTCTCAAAAAATAAAAATAAATAAAATAATGTGCCGAAAACTGTATATCCATATGGAAGAATGTGAACACTGAGAGAAAAGAAGGCTAAAAACATGAACAGAGGCTTGGTGATCTAGGAAAAAATGCTATAGGAGCTTATATTTTATACATCTTTGTATTTTGTTTAATTTTCTTAGTAATTTGTTTTTATTGTAATTTACAAAAGTACTAAATTGCAACAAATTGATTCTTTAGCATGGATAGTTAGAGAAGCACTGGTCTGGAGTCAATCTCAATGCTTTCCAAACTTTACTTTTCAATTCACTACATTAATACTTCCGCTTACAACCATCCTGATAAATGTCACTAGTGTCCTGTTAATCACAAAAGCACCACTGCTTTTCTGAATTTATCTTAATCAACCACTGGACACCATTAAACAGGAATAACAACTCCCTCATTTTCATTCTTTCCACAAATATTTACTGAATGCTCACTATTTGTCAGGAAATATTTCAGATACTGAGAATAACAAAACAGAAAAAAAATACAAAAACTGTGTCCATATTCTGGTGAGATAAGATAAAAATAATTAAAATTAAAATATATATATATAAATTTGATGGTAAAATGTACTTTGGAAGAAAATAAAACTGAGAAGGGGCATCAGAACTTCTGAGTAGTGGGGAGGGAATATTATTTTAAATAGAATGGTTAGCGAAGGTCTCACTGAGATGTTCTGCGTTCCAGTCTTTTATAACATCTTCATTTTCCTCCTCTGTCATGGTTTTCTTCATGTCTTTCATATTATCCCTTCTAGGTTTCCTTCGCTAGATCTTATTCTTCTGTTTATCCTTAAAATTTAGCATTCCTCAATTTCTGCCTTTAGTTCTTTTCGTTTTCCATTCTGCATGCTTTACTACATTTCCATGGCTTCAAATATATACATATATTTCCTAAAGAAGACCACTCCCATGATCTCATGGCCCATTCAGCTGAACTTCTGGACATTTCTATTTTAGTGGCTTGTTAAACTCTTCAAATTCAACATATATGAAAATAATCTTAACATCTTTCCTTCTAAGCCTTCTACCTATTCTGTATGGTCTTTCTTATGACCACCAAATGCCTGAAAGTCATTGTAAATTTTCCTCTTCTTCATTTCCAACATTGAAACTGGAGGCAAAGAGAACAACTAACTGATTATGTAAGAGCACAGGAAAGAGAAGGTAAGACCTCAAATGAAATAGCAATAGTGAGGATGAAGAGGAAAGATACAGATTTGAGAAATATTCTCAGGGTAGAATTAATGGAACTTGTGAAAAATTGTCTTTGAAGTGTGAGAATTTGGGCTTGAGTGACTTGATGGATAGAGAGTTAAGCATAGAGGAAGTAAAACATATTGAATGTAGAAGATAAGTTGTTTCTGATGAATTATTATTGAGGTAGTTGTAAGTGAAGCAGTCAGATAGAAAAGTCATGTAGTTTTCTAGACACCTTACTTTGAGTTATCTCATAAATATACTCTTGAGACAATAATTCCAATACAAGTAGTTTATTTTGGAGGTGTCATGGAAAACACCAGCAGGTTAGTGAGAAAGTAAGATGGGGAAGGGAAGAAAGCCTATAAAATGTTCTTGGTTAAGCTAGTCATCACTGCAGTCAAGGAAATTAAAGTTTTGCACCACTGGTAACGCTGGAGGACAACATAGGATATACCTTAGCATTACCATAACCATGGGGTTAGATACTGGTGTTGTTATCCAACAAATCTGTATCATCACTGAGAATTGTGTCTGGAGCCATTAACTCCTTCAGCTCTGCTAGCTTGTCCTGTGTATAAGACAAACATTCCCCTACAGCCAGACAAAAAAGCTCATAGGTGGAGAGTAGCAGGTGTTTTCTTTCAGTAGTCTTCAGCATGTTGAAGATTAATGTCGAGAGGATATAAGTAAGGCACTAATAGGATGTGCTACACCAAGTATATGGATCTGGAATTCAGGGAAAGGTTTACACTGGAGAAATAGATTTGGAAATCATTAGGATAGGGCTGGCCAAAGTTATATGTACTTCCAAAATCACAAATTTACTTGGCTGGAGAAATATTAAATAAGAAAAGAGAAAGAAGATACGAACCAGATACTTAAGTGGCCTGGAGACCAAGGTAATGACCCTTAGAGGTTGGGCTAGTGTCCTTTAAGGAACAAGATCTAAAGAGGATATGAAGCCCACTTTGAAGGTAGGCAACATGAAAAACAAGACAGAGAATGGGAACTGCTAACAACTAGAGGGAAAGGGCAGATTTCCCTAGTGAGTTTAAGTGTCCAGGAAGAGTAGTTGTGCCCTGATGACAGAGACTGTGTGTGACTTGGAGGAAGGCAAGATATTCACCAATTAATAGAGCTCTGAAAAAGACAAATAATAGAGCTGGCATAATCAGAAATTCCATTAGGAAACCTCACAGCAGAGAGATTCTATTAAAATGGGTGAAATATGAGAATAAGGATAACCCAGTGATCTTATTAATCCCAGAATGGAAGAATTTCTCTACTAGAAACTGTAGTTGAAGAGAGAGAGAAAACTTACTATAGATCACCCAGAATTAGGAAATTTACAGTCTCTGTGAGATGGTGTGAGTTCTGCCTACTGTATATCTCTTGGTATTTGTTGATTTTTGTTTTCCTTCAAATTGGTCACTTTCTACAACACCATTCAACAACATTCCCTAGCACAGTACATCAGAACAATACATATTTCAGGCTTCTGAGTGGTAGCTTGAGCCAAAATATAAGGGTTCAAAATATATTTGGGCCAACCCTAAATGCAGGTCCTAGATTCCATGGCTATCTTTGATGAATATTCCATTAGCATTTTGATCTACACAGAACTGGACATGGAAAGCCTATGGCAATAATAATAATAATAATAATGTTTAATGTTGGCTTTCACTATGGAGCTCTCAAAGAAAACTCTGATACCACGTCACATATCCAAGTATTTCACTCCAGGTTCAGACATTTTTCCAACCCAAAAACAAGCTTCTGGTAATTTCAGGTATTATATGAGTCCCAGTTATATGCAAAGAGGGCATATCAAAAAGCCAGCCACTTCCAGTGTAGTGATAGTTATATAGCTGGGAAGGAAATTTATCTTTATCCCAATTGAATCTTAAAAGTCTTAAGCTTCAGTCTTTGCAACTTTTACTCCTTCCATTCAGTTAAAAAAAAGTCTTTCTAAGATTGGTGTCAATTGGAAAGTATTTGTATATCCTGGCTGTTAAGATGGAAAGTGTGAATTTACAGAAACTCTGATATGTGTAGAGATGGTGGGAAGTTTAGCAGAGAGTGGTGGAGGGGCAGTAGGTGAGAGTGGGGTGCCTATGGGACAGAGCCAAGAAAATGAGACTTGCAGACTGAGAGTCAATTATGCTCAGATTTCAGTCTCCTCACCTATGCGCCAAAGACAACGTGTTAGGGGCTGGGTGAAAATGCTTTAGTCATAGCCAGGAAAAAAGAGCCTAGTAATGTGTTGCTCTGTTTAGTAATGAGGATGGGGAGCATTTGGGCTTCATTTAGTCTTGCTGGCACAATCAGGTAACACCATACTAAGCCTAAACATAGTTCTAAGATTAAATAAACTTCTGTTGACTTTTCATAATCCTTCTTAGGGATGTTATAGCTGGGGGGGGGGGGATCAATTAACAATATAAACTTTGTTCTCCAAATCCCATCCTCATTCTACAAAAATATGATACATTAACCTGGGAGAAGTAGAGATGTGGAAATTAAATCAACATCTCAGTCTTCTCCTTAGATTGAGGTTTGGGGACAAAATTCATAAATAATTACCTAGTGAATAATATTTTAAAATTTTCTTTTCCTCCTTGTCTGCATTTTTTAGAAAAACTACTAGATCTCTTTTGAGAGTTGGGAAAGAGAAGCCGTTAATTAGAGTTATAGGGAACTGCTTGAGGTCTAAGCCAACTGCCTCAAATTCTTCTGTTTGTGACTGGAAAATCAGTTTGGTTCTTTCACGTTTTGGGTACTTTTATAGACTTATTTGGTTTTTATTTGTCATGATTTCACAAGCTCCAGAAAGTCAGTGCTGCTGGAAAAGACATGCCCTTATTTAGAGCTTCCACTCACTGGCTATTCCTCCTCACGTTGACCAAACTACTCCATGCATGGGATTTAGCTTGCATCTCCATTATTATCCCACACCAGTCTAGAGCCACCTGCCAGCCAATTCTGTGAGCTCCCCTCTGGTTTCTCACACTGAGCTCTTGCCAGGAGCTTTGCCAAGTCTGGAATAATCAGAGCTGTTTTGGGGAACTATTTCACTGGGGTCACTGCTTCTCTAAAACTCAAAGTCCGCCATGAAATATGATGAGAAGGTGAGAAATAATATCCTAGAGTCTCACAACACATACGAGCAACATTACACATTTATTTATGAAGCTCCTTTTGAACAATCACAGGATGGAGCCAAGGTAGGAACAGTTAGAGGGAGCAACCTAAGAACAAATGTTGGCAGTTCTACTTAAAGTCACAAAACTATCTAAAGCAGCAGCAGCTAGTTCAACTATTGAGTATATCCTTCAAACCAAAGTACTCTTTTATTTTTGCCTTTTGTATTAAATATAGTATGCTCATTCTCACACTGTATAGCTGCAAAACCACACATCACAAGAATGATAAATATTGATGCTAAGAAACATTTTAGCATGTCTGAGTAGTAGGAACCTAAGATAAGAATCCCTAAGGGTTATTTCTTATGAATGAAATAACAACAACAAAAAAGTTATCTGCAGAAATAATCCATAAGTGGATGATTGAACACTTTTGGGAAATCTCTATGCTATATTCCAATTAAAGTAACCTTAGGATGGGATCTGTATTATGTCTAAATTGTAGCATCAATTGTATTGTGTCTTGTGTGATAAAAACTAAAGGTGTTAACATCATAGAGGTGATTAGCAGGGAAATTAGTAAAAGGGGCTAATGAGTAGAATTATTTTTCCATGTATCTCCAGCTCTGTCCAGAAAAGAGATAGCTTGAACAAAGGACCCAAACATCCATTCCTTTTGATTGGTCTTCCTGTATAGCACATAGAGTGAAGGCACCAGTCATTAAGATCTTCCAGAGAACTCACTTTTTAAAATTTAATGCTCAGCAAACACCTGGTTCTACTCCTTTTGCAAGGAGGCAGGAGTGGGTATGAGAAAGGCACTGGGGGGTTTCAGCGTGGAGAAGATTGTCAGACATGCCAGAAATATGAGAAAGCCGCAAGTCACATACCAATATCAAGCAGAGAGGCAAAGCTCATAAGCCAGAGGTGGGTGTTTAAACCAGTCTCTAAAAAATAATAGGAGGGCCAAGAATAGAGACTATGCTCTGTTAGAGAGCCAAAAACATGGAGACCAGGATAAGTAAGGCCGGCGGGGGGTGGGAAATGGGTTGAGCAACTATGATGAAAGACAGGGAAAAATGTTACTTCTGACTCAGATGATGTCCGAAGCTGGCTTTTCAGTATATTTTGTAGCTGAATGTATGAGTACCTTCTTGAATTGCTATAAATACCTGGGACTGGGTAATTTATAAGAAAGGAAGTTTAATTGGCTCATGGTTCTGCAGGCTGTACAGCCAGGCATCTGTTTGGCTTCTGATATGACCTCAGGAAGCTTGCAGTCATGGTGGAAGGCAAAGAGGGAGCTGGCAAGTCACATGGTGAAAGCAGGAACAAGAGAGAGAGAGAATAGGGAGAAGGTGCCACACATTTTTAAATGACCAGATCTTGTATGAGCTCAGAGAGAGAGTTTAATTATCACCAATGGAATGGCCCAAGCCATTCATGAGAGATCTGCTCCCTTGATCCAAACATCTCCCCCTAGGCCCCAACTCCAACAGGAAATTTGGGCAAGGACAAGTATCCAAACTATGTCACTGGATGTGAGAAAAATACGTAGGAATCTGATCACGGAGAGCCAAGAGTGGCTAAATTAAGGAGTTTCAGTTTTATTCTAGAAAATATGAGGAGCGAATGCAGAATTTTAATCTGTGAAGTGGAATTATCAGATGCATAGAATGTTAATAATTAGAAGTGAAATAGACAAATATAAAACTTTCATTTCTGAAAGCATTAAGTACATTAAAAGTTATTTTGTTATTCATTTAGTTGCAAACCAAAGGTAAGCCAATAATCAATAAAAAAATGCTCATTCTGTAAGTACTCAGCCGGATTTTTTACTTATTCAGGTGGAATGTAATATCATCTATCAGACATCTATTAGATGATCTTATCAATATTAGAGAGAGTATCAGACCATTCTGTTATATCAGAATTCTGCTATTCATGACATGTCTACTTTTTGCTTTTGTCTTTTGGTCAAAGTCTTCATTAGGTAACGAAGCCAGCCCCTTCACAAACTGCCTTAGTGTTCCAATAAATATTGTGGTTCGTGGGCTCTCCCTTTTAATTAAGGAGAAAAAATAATGAAAAAGCCAATTCATTTGCATTATTTCTTGAAATTTACATTCTGGAAGAGGCTCTGCCTTTATGGTAGAATTTGGTACCTGCATCCTGCAGATCCTGTCTACTTCCAAGCTTCTGCTGACAGACGTGCATAAAGACTGGATCACCTAGCAAGTGCCAGCTCCTATCTTACTGCTCCATGAGACAAGCAGTTGAAAAGACAGAGTGGAACCTGTTTCTAACCTTTATGTGACAGTAACCCCACTTCCTTATAATGTGGCCCAAAGAATGCCGATGCCTGAAAAATCAAATTAGCTATTCCTCTTCTAGTGGGAAGGGTCAGTGGGGGAGATGGAGAGGAAGAAGCAGCAGTCTTCATTCCTATACCTCCCCTTTGAAGCTTGAGGAATAGAGGACTCCTTTTTAAACATAGAGGAAATGGGCAAAGATGGGAAGAAAACATATCCCTTCTCTCTCATCAGTGTTCAGCTTCAGTAAATCATGATTTTATTTGAGAGAAGAAATGGTAACTGGCAAAACAAAATACTTGTCTGGGAATGTTGAGTTATGTCTAAGCAAGGAGTTGAAAAATACCTAATGGATCCTAAACTATTTACAATGACCTGAAAAAAAAAAAACTAATATGAAACATGGGAAGAACTTGACCAGATTTGTAACGTGAAAAACTTTTAAGAGACTCTGTTGCACTCACATGTTTTCACAAATCATCAGAAAATGTATTCTTGAAATGTTTATTTTGGAAAATGAGAAACTCAGGAAAAATAATTTACATATATTTTATCTGTTTAAGATGTGGATATACTACTTTAAAATATTCAGAGTAGAAGATAGATGATTCTTGGCTTTAAAAAAAGTAGGGTGTATGCACACACACACAAAATTATCTAAATAATCAGGTTCCAAGCTACTTTTTATTTAAGAAATATTTGCATAATTTAGTAATCATGATTATAATTATTTCAGTTTTCCAGTTGGCCTTGTAGAAATGGTACTACTGATAAATGAGCTTCTGCTTAGGCAAAGTTGCTCATGAGTTGCCAGTGAAACAACTCTATCCCTCCTCGTTGTACTCCTTGTAACTAACAGCACACATTTATAAAGCTGACTAGAAAGAGGAACACAGCGTATGGTATCAGAACATTTTACCCCACATCTGGAAAATCGTCCCTATGAAAGGAAACAAACTGGACTATATGAGGACCAGATGTTAGATTCATTAACACCACATTTTAACCTAGTAAGAAAAATGGTCTTTTAAATATATATCTAAGGACTGGACCTCTTTATGAAAATTCATAAGAGAACTTTGTCCATTATGAGATAATTTTTTTTCCTAAGTTCTATTCTACGCCTACAGGGTTATGGTAAAGGAAATGGCTCAAATGTTTTGGTCTCATCCTGTCCAATTTACTTAAATGGATTCGGCCATAACTTAAACACGGTTATTTCTCAGTGATCCAATCTAGTCTCATTCCTTTAAATACTATCCATATGCTATCCACTCCCAAACACATCTCACACCCTGACCTCTCTCCTGAACTGCAGACTCATATATTCGAGCACCTACTCATCATCTCTTTTTAGGTGGCTAATAGACATTTCAAAACGAATGTGTCTTCTCCTCAAACTTGTTCTACCTTCAGCCATCCCCAGATTTGTTGAAATATCACTATTCCTGAGTGGCTGAAGACAAAAACAAAGGAGTCATCCTTGTTTATTCTTTCTCTTTTACATCCCACTTTCCTTTTTTTTTTTTCATTATACTTTAAGTTCTAGGGTACATGTGCACAATGTGCAGGTTTGTTACATATGTATACATGTGCCATGTTGGTGTGCTGCACCCATTAACTCGTCATTTACATTAGGTATATCTCCTAATGCTATCCCTCCGCCCTCCCCCCGCCCCATGACAGGCCCCAGTGTGTGATGTTCCCCACCCTGTGTCCACTTGTTCTTATTGTTCAATTCCCACCTATGAGCGAGAACATGCAGTGTTTGGTTTTTTGTCCTTGCGATAGTTTGCTGAGAATGATGGTTTCCAGTTTCATCCGTGTCCCTACAAAGGACATGAACTCATCATTTTTTATGGCTGCATAGTATTCCATGGTGTATATGTGCCACATTTTCTTAATCCGGTCTATCATTGATGGACATTTGGGTTGGTTCCAAGTCTTTGCTATTGTGAATAGTGCCGCAATAAACACACGTGTGCATGTGTCTTTATAGCAGCATGATTTATAATCCTTTGGGTATATACCCAGTAATGGGATGGCTGGGTCAAATGGTATTTCTAGTTCTAGATCCCTGAGAAATCGCCACACTGTCTTCCACCATGGTTGAACTAGTTTACAGTCCCACCAACAGTGTGAAAGTGTTCCTATTTCTCCACATCCTCTCCAGCACCTGTTGTTTCCTGACTTCTTAAAGATCACCATTCTAACTGGTGTGAGATGGTATCTTGTTGTGGTTTTGACTTGCATTTCTCTGATGGCCAGTGATGATGAGCATTTTTTCATGTGTTTGTTGGCTGCATAAATGTCTTCTTTTGAGAAATGACTTTTCATGTCCTTTGCCCACTTTTTGATGGGGTTGTTTGTTTTTTTCTCGTAAATTTGTTTGAGTTCTTTGTAGATTCCGGATATTAGAGCTTTGTCAGATGAGTAGATTGCAAAACTTTTCTCCCATTCTGTAGGTTGCCTTTTCACTCTGATGGTAGTTTCTTTTGCTGTGCAGAAGCTCTTTAGTTTAATTAGATTCCATTTCTAAATTTTGGCTTTTGTTGCTGTTGCTTTTGGTGTTTTAGACACAAAGACCTTGCTCACGCCTGTGTCTTGAATGGTATGGTATTGCCTAGGTTTTCTTCTAGGGTTTTTATGGTTTTAGGTCTGACATTTAAGTCTTTAATCCACCTTGAATTAATTTTTATATAAGGTGCAAGGAAGGGATCCAGTTTCAGCTTTCTACATATGGCTAGCCAGTTTTCCCAGCACCATTTATTAAATAGGGAATCCTTTCCCCATTGCTTGTTTTTGTCAGGTTTGTCAAAGATCAGATAGTTGTAGATATGCGGCATTATTTCTGAGGGCTCTGTTCTGTTCCATTGGTCTATATCTCTGTTTTGGTACCAGTACCATGTTGTTTTAGTTACTGTAGCCTTGTAGTATATTTTGAAGTCAGGTAACATGATGCCTCCAGCTTTGTTCTTTTGGCTTAGGATTGTCTTGGCAATGCAGGCTTGTGTTTGGTTCCATATGAACTTTAAAGTAGTTTTTTCCAATTCTGTGAAGAAAGTCATTGGTAGCTTGATGGGGATGGCATTGAATCTATAAATTACCTTGGGCAGTATGGCCATTTTCATGATATTGATTCTTCCTATCCATGAGCATGGAATGTTCTTCCACTTGTTTGTGTCCTCTTTTATTTCATTGAGCAGTGGTTTGTAATTCTCCTTGAAGAGGTCCTTCACATCCCTTGGAAGTTGGATTCCTAGGTATTTTATTCTCTTTGAAACAATTGTGAATGGGAGTTCACTCATGATTTGGCTCTCTGTGTGTCTGTTATTGGTGCATAGAAATGCTTGTGATTTTTGCACATTGATTTTATATCCTGAGACTTTGCTGAAGGATGCAAGGCTGGTTCAACATACACAAATCAATAAACGTAATCCATCATATAAACAGAACCAATCACAAAAACCACATGATTATCTCAATAGAGGCAGAAAAGGCCTTTGACAAAATTCAACAGCGCTTCATGCTAAAAACTCAATAAATTAGGTATTGATGGGACGTATCTCAAAATAATAAGAGCTATTTATAACAAACCCACAGCCAATATCATACTGAATGGACAAAAACTGGAAGCATTCCCTTTGAAAACTGGCACAAGACAGGGATGCCCTCTCTCACCACTCCTATTCAACATAGTGTTGGATGTTCTGGCCAGGGCAATCAGTCAGGAGAAGGAAATAAAGGGTATTCAATTAGGAAAAGAGGAAATCAAATTGTCCCTGTTTGCAGATGACATGATTGTATATTTAGAAAGCCCCATCGTCTCAGTCCAAAATCTCCTTAAGCTGACATCCCACTTTCAATCAATCAGGAAATCCTTTTGACTTCCCCTCCAAAATATATCCAGGATCTGGCCACTTCCCGTCACCAGGTTACTATTATCTGGGTCCAATCTACCATAATCTGTTGCCTGAATTATTGCCAATAGCCTTCTAGTTAGTTTTCCTTAAGGTCACACTCCATTGTCTCTTCATTTCACTCAGAATACAAACCAAAGTCCTTAAAATAGTCTAAAAGTCATTAGATTTTTAGACTAATGTGGCTCCTTGTTGCCATTCTGGGTTACTCTCACTTGCTCCACCCTGATGACATTGTCCTCATTGCTGTTCCTCTAACACATCCAGTCATGTTCCTGGTTAAGGACTTTTACCCTGACCTTTCCTTTGCCTGGAATGCTATTCCCTCCAACTGCTTAGCAAACTCCCTTACCTCCTTTAAGGATTTGTTAAAATGTCATCTTTTCAATAACTATCCTATTAAAAATTGCCACCACCTAGCACTTCTCTTCCAGCACTTGTGGTCCCCATTACCTGTTCTGCTTTTACTTTTTCTCTTTTTCTTATAGTCCTTATCACCTAATAGCATGCTACATTATTTGTTTGTTTTTATTGTTTATTTTCGGTTTCTCTCTGTCCACCAGATCATAAGTTCACTGATGTGTCTCAAGCATTAAGAACAGTTCTTGGCACATATTAAGCACTCAATAAGTATTAAATGAGCCAATTGCAAGACCTGGCATTGATTATAGATTTATTGTTGTTTAATTGAGAAGAAAAAATGTTTTCTTCCGACTGACTAATGTAACTAAAATACTGTCATTTTCATGTTTACCACCTGACAGAAGTATCAATCTCCCCCTCCCCTAAAGTTTGTGTATTTTCACAAGCTCAGGATCAAAATAAAGGAAAGGAGGTGAGCAAGAAGGAAGCTTTTTCCCTAATTCCAGAAGCCTCCATGGGACATTTCGTGCATGTTCCTATCATTGTACTTAACAGACCACATTATAATTTTTGTTCGTGTATCACTTCTCATCAATGTGACAGCTCCACAAGAGCAGAGACTATTTGATTCATCATTTTCATCTCCAGTACCTGACACATTATATAACAGTAATGATATTCGATAAAAGATTGCAAAATAATGGATGAAATATCAGAGGCAGAATGCCAGGGAGGAAAGGATGTAACATTTGAAGAGTGAGTGAGTGTGACTTCCTGTTCTGTTAACAGTATAAGCTTTGCCAAGTTGTTTAATTGCTCTGAGTCTCAGTTTCTTCATCTATAAAAGAAAAGTAAATTTTCTTTGAAGATTAAATTAGGTAATGTGTGCAATGTACTTAGTAGGGTCCCTAGAATATAACAAACATTCAGTAAATGAGATATGCCTACCTTTTATACCATATATATGTATAATTTAAATTATATGTGTGTGTGTGTGTGTGTGTGTGTGTGTGTGTGTGTGTGTGTGTGTGTAGGAGCAGAAGCAGGTAGCTCCCTGCTCTCAAGGGAGTCCTTTCATTTGTTTGTTACTGCTAGTGGGCATGGCCACCGTGGGTTAAGGCCTTTTTTGTTTCTAGTTTTCATTCCATGTGGAAGTTGAGTATGCTGTCACTGCTTTGGCTTCCTGTACCTCACTGATAGACGCAGGAAAATAAGGGCACAAGTTTCAATCCTCGAATATAAGCTCCGTGAGAATAAAGACTTTTTTCATCCCTCTCCCCCTTCCTTTTTATCTGCTATATCCCTAATGCCTAGTAGAACAATGCCCCATAAATATAAGTTAAAAGCTGAATAAGTTTGCCTTCAGTCTCAAGGTAAGGTAGAAGTCCTACTTAAGACTGGGGTTAAAACCACACATCTGGCCCAGTTTTATCATAGTTTTGCAAAGAAATGCTCAGTATTAACCCAGCTAATACTTAATAGGTATCTTGATTTCCATTTGCTCTAATTCTTGATGATGTAGTTTCCTTACAACATTTTAGGGAGAAAAGGGGATCAGCAGAGAGGCATTTGAGCAACACTTAATCTTCTAGCTTTATATAGTCAGATACATCCTCCCTTAGTTCTTATAAAAAATATAAAACTTAATGACAGTCATGAAGAAGGTTGGAATAAATGGAGATATACTATATTTCTGAAAGAGAAATCTCAGTATTCTAAAGATGTCACTTCTCCCCCGAATAAATCTATTAATTCAGTGGCATTATAATTAAGATCTCAATAGAATTTTACTTGAGAAGATGTGAAGGCAAAACTTGATAAATTTGGTAAACTAGATAAATGGAAGTGTATTTAGACAAGTATATAAGAATATCTAGAAAAATATTTCAAAGTTCAATACAGAAGGGAGTACTTGTGTTATCAAGTATCAAAATATAGATTTAGACTACAAAACTTAAAACAGGGTGACACAGTAATGGAATAAGAAAATAAATCAATGATATCAACCAAAACGTCTAGAAACAGGTGAAATGCATGTAAAAACTTAGTACGTGATAAAGATGGCATTTAGTATTTTGGGGGAAAGTTTGTCACATGTTCATTTATAGAAAAATAATATGACTGGATACTTCATGCAGTATACAAAAGTAAATCCAGATTGAATAAGTAGTACATGTAAGAAACAAAACTATGAAAGTATTAAAGAGAAAACAGTGTATTTTTATAAACTGAGGGTGAAGCTGGCCTTCCTAAGCAGTACATAATACACAATGACATACTGTTAAGCCACAAAAAAGAATAAAATATCATTTGTAGCAACATTATGTTATGTGAAATAAACGAGGTACAGAAAGACAAATACCACATGCTCTCACTCATATGTGGGAGCTAAAAAACTTGATCTCATGGACATAGAGAATACAACCATGGATACCAGAGATGCGAGAGAGAGAGAGTGGTGGGTGAATAAACAGAGGTTGGTTAATGGTAGGAACATACCATTAGATAGAAGAAGAAAGTTCTAAGGTTTTACAGCAGACTAGGATAACTATACTTAGCAAACAATATTTTGTAGATTTCAAAGAAACTAGAAGAAAGGACTTGAAATGTTCCCAATGCATAGAAATAATAAATACTCAAGGTGATGGATACTCCCAAAAACCCTGAATTGATCATTATACATTTCATGCATGTAACAAACATTCACTTGTACCCCATAATATGTAAAATATTATGTATCAATAAAAGAAAAAAGAATGAAGTAAACATTGTTTATAAAAAAAGAAGTAAAAAAAAGAAGTCAAATTAAAAAAATTATACCTGAAATATATTATTAAAAAGATTGATATCTGATAAACAAATTGAAAAAAAGACAGCCAGATTGAGTAAATTAGCCAATAATGTAATTAGGCACTTCACAATCAAATAAAAATAACTCATAAGTTTAAGAAGACATGATCATACTCATTAGTAATCAAGTAAATGTTTTTAAAACACATTGAAATACTCCCTACACCTTAATCCACTGACAAACATTTAAATAATCTTTGATAGCCAATGCTTATAAGAATGTGGAGAAATAGGTACTCTTCTTGTCTCATTATAGTATATTTCAGCAAGGCAACTTTTCAATCTCTAGCAAATTTATAAATATGCATATACTTTGACTCCACAATTCCAACTCTTTTAAAATGCACCAAGGATACGTATACACATGAGAATATCTATTTTGACATTACTTAGAACAGTGGTAAATTAGACACCACCTAAATGCCCCTCAATTTAAAAAATGATTATATAAATTATGGTAGTTCATACTTTAGAATACCCATTCAGCTGTTAAAACATAATAATATCAGTCCCTGTTTATTGACACCAGATGGTGTCTATGACTTGTGACAAATAAGCTATAAAACAAATTAAAAAATATATGTATATGGAATATTCATATTTTTAAAAATTGTATGTATATATAATTTTCTTTCATATACTTCTGTGTTTCAAATTTTTCACAAAATATACGACCTCTGAAATTAATATAAATGAGAAAAGTACTGAGGTACTCTATATATACACATATATATACACACATATATGTACACACACACATATATGTTCATGGATGGATAACTTGATAAAGGTAAAAAAAATTGTCATGTAAAGCAGGTCACATTGAGAAAAGTAATGACCTACATTAAGGGACAGAATCAGCTTGGGTGACTTCACATGGCAGAAAACAGGAATAAATACTCTATCTTGATTCTCTTTCCTCTCTGAGATATGGAGTTCCTCAATGTCTGATGGCAGTTGGAAACCAGTGGGCAAGAAAGCCCATAGATGTAAACTCTACAGGCCACATTTCTGGGGACAGAGCCATGTTGAGGAGGGTAGAGAGGGGATCCATATGTGCAAAAAGAAAATAGCTAGCACACTGACTTTAATGGAAAAGCTTCTAAAATTTCTTTTTTTAAGTAAAATATTTGTTCACTTGGAGGAAATATTTTTTTATGAGTTAGGAGTATTCCCTGCTAATTCTAGTTATTGTCATAAATAAATTGAACTTTTTAATCTTTTTGTTTCTTACATATACTAACATGATCATATGGTTTCCTCTTTTAATCTGTTAATATGATGATATAAATGTAAGCTTTCCAATGTTGAGCCATCTTTGTATTCCATAAATTAAATACTACTGGGTATCAATGTATCATTTGTATACAAATAGTTATTTATTTTGCTGATATTTTATTTAGAACTTTTGAATATCCACATTATAAGTTAGAATGCATTATAATTTTTTTTCCTTCAAGTATCCTTGATTTAATTTATTTTGTCAAGGCTTTTCATTTTTGTTTGCTGAAAGAGGTTGTATAAATAAAAATTCTAAGTTTTTTAAGTTATAAAGACTTGGTAAAACAGGCTAATAAAGCCTCTGAACCTTATTTCAGGGGGAGGTTTATGTCAAGATGTTTCATTTTTGGAGTTCCTTTTTAAGTCAAATGGATTAAATATGTCTCTGATGATTGCTCTGCCATTAAGGTTATGTGGTTCTTCTTTAGTCAAATGTATTAAATTATATTTTCTATAAATTGGCTTTACCCATATTTTCAAAATAATTGCATAAAATATTTGTAATATTATATTTTTAAGATCATTAATATGTGTGGTCATGTTACCCTCCTCATTCTTAGATTTTTGCATTTTGAGGTTTGTTTGTTCTGTTTGTTCAAAGTATCAGCCGTTTTCTTGATCATCTCTATTGTTTATTTGTTGTCTGTTGAATTATTTTTCTTTTATCCTTATCATTTCCTCCTTTCTAATGTTTTAATTCTATAGCTCTTTTTACTACTTTTATGAGTTAAACTGTTTATAAATTTTCACTGCTAATATATGTTTTTAGGACTATTAATTTCCTCTTCAAATGCTATCTTAAGGCTATCTCGCAAGTTCTGATAAGAAATGTTCTCACTGACATTTGGCTTCCAAATGTTTTTTAATTCACTGTGATTGCCTATTCTTAATGTATACATTATTTAGAAGTGTGATTTTTAAAAAATTTTTTTCTTGTGATTGATTTTAACACCATTTTTTGGCTTTTTGTTATTGATTTCTAATTTTAATGCATACTGGTCAAAGAATGTATGGAATTAATAAAAACTTCCTTTGTAGATCAGTATGTGGTTAAGTTTTATAAACCATCAATCTAATTGTTAAAGTATGTGTAATCTCTACTCCTTGGGTAAGGAATTTATATCTAGCTTGTAAATTGTGTTGCTGAAAATTGATCAGTGGTTTATTGGAGAAGTGTAAAATAATTTCCCTCTATTAATTTTATTAATAATTTTTGTAATTCAATCAATTCTCACTTTATATGTGTTGAGACTTTTTTGGATGCATGTGGGTTCAGGATAATTACTTTTAGTTTGCAGATGTTTAATTTTATTGTCACATAATATTTCACTTTGTCCCTATTAATGCCTTCACCTCAAGATCATTTTCTTCTGGTTTTAATATAGCCAATATTGATCGGCTTCAACTTGGTGGAGAGTAAATATGGAAATCCCTCATTATCTGCCTTTAGACGTATATCTTCTAGACAATATCTGACATATTTGGCAGAACCCTTAACTTTCCAGTCATGTTCAGTTGTTAAGGATTCATTCCAATCTAATCTAAAACTCTAATTTCACATGTAATTGAAATCTCATTTCATTCTTTTCTCCTAGCTGCATACCATTGACCCATTCTGAGTCTCTCAACCACAAGCCTAACATTTCCTCCATTTAAGCAATTTCTCCTGCAAAATAGTGTTGTAGAATTTTATATTAAAGGAAAATTAAAATTAAAATATTATATTTTTATATAGAAAGGGATAACAAATATGAGAGAGAAGGTAGGAAGAAGAGAAGGTAAACAAAAAAATTATATCAAAATTGCTATTAATTCTGATCCTCAAACAATTTCACCTTAAAATATCTAGGGATCATAATACCAGAAGGAGAAAAAAAGAAGGGGATAGATGAAATATTTGAGAAAGCAATGGCTTAAATTTTTCCAAAATTTATGATGGACACCAAACTTCAGATACAGGAAACTCCGAGGATACCAAGAAGGACAAATACCAAAAAGCTTATACCTAGACACATCATATTGAAAGTTCCGAAAAGTCAAGACCAAAAAATAAATAAATAAATAATAAAATTAGAAAAAAGAATTGAAAGAAGCCAGAAAGAAAACACATTACCTACAGAAGAATGAGAAATACATCAGACATCTCTTCAAAAAACATGCAAGCAAGAAGAGAGTGGAGTGAAATTTTTAAAGTATTGAAAGTAAAAGAAAGCCCACCAACCTATAATTTGATATCCAATAAAATTGTTTTTCAAACATGAAGGAGAAATAAAGACTTTCTCAGACAAACAAAAATTGAGGAAACTTGTCACTAGTAGAGATGCACTGAAAATAATGTTAAAAGTTCTTCAAAGGAAACGGACTATGTGACATTCTGAAAAAGGTAAAAATAAAAATATGGTAAAAAAAATTAGTTGTTTCCAGCCCTGTTCAGGAGGAGGGAAGAAGAGATGAATAGGTAGAACACAGGTGATTTTTAGGGCTATGAAGCTATTCTGCATGATGCTGTAATTGTGGATACAAAAAGTTATACATTTATCAAAACCCATAGAACTGTACAACATAAACTTTGTGCTCTAATGTAATCTATGGACTTTAATCAGTAATAATGTATCAATATTGGTTCATCAATTGTAACAAATATACCACACTAACACAAGATATTAATAATAGAAGAAACTGTGTGCAATGAGGAGAGAGGATGTATAGGAACTCTCCCTACTTTCTGCTAAACTTTTCTGTAAACCTAAAATTTTTTTTTCTTTTTTTTTGAGACAGTGTCTCATGCTGTAGCCCAGACTAGCGTGCAGTGGTGTGATCTCGGCTCACTGCAACCTCTGCCTCCCAGGCTCAAGACATTCTCCTGCCTCAATCGCCAGAGTAGCTGGGATTACAGAGTAGCTGGGATTACAGGCGCCCGCCACCATGCCCAGCTAATTTTTGTATTTTTAGTAGAGATGGGATTTCACCATTTTGACCAGGGTGGTCTTGAACTCTTGACCTCAGGTGATCCACTCCCCCCCCCCGACCCCAGCCTCCCAAAGTGCTGGGATTACAGGCATGAGCCAGCACGCCCGACAAATTCCTCTTGAAAGATTAAAAATGGCCAAACCCTGTGGCTCACGCCTATAATCTTAACACTAGAAAGCTGAGGTGGGAGGATTGCTTGAGGCCAGGAGTTCAAGTCCAGCCTGGGTTACACAGCAAGATCCCTGTCTCTATATAAAAAAAAAAAATACACAAATTAGCCAGGCGTGGTGGGGACTAAAATTAGCTACTTAGGAGGCTGAGGCAGGAGGATGGCTTGAGCTCAGGAGGTTGAGGCTACAGTGAACTATGATTGTACCACTGCATTCCAGCCTGGGTGACAGAACTGGATTCTGTCTCTAAAAAGTTTAAAAAAATTAAAAAAAGATAAAAACTATTAAGAAATAAGTTTAATTTTTTTACAATAAAAATACCTATTTAGAGACAAAACTGATACTTAGGGAATGGTAAGGGTAAAAATAAAGCATTAATTGCCTGTATAATTTTTTAATACTCTAATTCAGCTCAGCTTCTACCAGAAACCAAAAAAAATAGTTAAGAAGAATATTTTCAAAGCCTGTTATTTATTTTTTTAACTACATTTTAGCTTCATCACCTGGGTGAAGTCAGAATGTGTTGAGAACTTTCCTGTGGGTCACTATGTTCCCACACAGATGATGCAATAGAAAAATAGCAGACCGGCAAGGGAAATGATTAGACTTTGTTATTGCAAAGAGAATTTTTGTTTGACCATATAATATGCTGGTAATTAGACCTTGCACCCCAGGATCTCACAGCTGTCTTTCTGCTATCTAATTTTTCTCTGTCAGAATCTTAGAGACATTGTAGACACATTGAAGACTTCTTTTAAACAGCATTCACGTATGAATCCTTGCATTTGGAACCTTGCTGTGCTGATATGATTCAAAAGGGCAAATGCAGAGAAAATTATTGAACTGAAGAGCCTAGAGTCAGCACAATCATGAAGTAGGTGAATTGGCATCTTTCTACTCCATTTCTTTACCTCTCCTCATTTCCACGTCTTTCACGGTATTTACATTGTGGTCTTTATCTTCAGAGCATTGGGGAGAAGATGAAATGTTTTAATTGGGATGGGTGGTGACATCATATTTACATTTTAATAAATCATTCTGGTGAAAAACAGGTCAGAAAGAGGCAAAAATGAATGTGGGTTTGTATGGGTCTGCAGCAACCTCAATTCTTGCCTTGTCAGAAGAAAGAATTAGACTGAGGGGCACTAGGCAGAGTGAGAGACCAAGGCAAGTTTTAGAGCAGGAGTGAAAGTTTATTAAAAAGCTTTAGAGCAGTAATGAGAGGACGTAAAGTATACTTGGAAGAGGGCCAAGCAGGCAATTTGAGAGATCAGGGCACGGTTTGACCTTTGACTTGGGGTTTTATACCTTGCCATGCTTCCAGCGTCTTGTGTACCTTCTCTCCTATTCTTGCCTTGGGGTGAGCTATCCACATGCACAGTGTCCTGCCAGTGCTTCGGAGGGGAACATGCGCAATGCGTTTACTGTATTTGTATGCATGCTCACTTAAGGCATTCTTCCTTTACCAGCTGAATGTTCCTAGAAGGTCATATGCCAGTTAAACTCTGTCATTTTGCATGCTTGAGCCCACTCCCCAACTCCTGGGATCCTATTGGAAAGCTGCTGATCACCAGTTTCAGGTTTATTCTATCTATTGGAAGACTGCCTTTCCCTGCCACTGGCTGCAACCAATTATTATTTTAGAAATACAATGTAACAACCACCTGACCATCACCTGATGGTCACTTGACATTCCTGGTGGTGGTGGGGAGTCCTCCCCTGACTTGCTTATGACTGATTAGCTACTTACTGTGGCAGGTTGACCTATTAGGAGGCAGTTATAGTCTTGTAGATGAAAGATGACATCTTCCTTTCTAAGCATATCTGCCTTTGAAGAGTTAATAATCCCCTCATTCAAAGGAAGGGGGTAGAATTCCAGATATCTTTATGAATGAAGCACTATGACTCTTCAGAGAAGATATTTGAGAGTAACTTTTAAGAAGGAGATTACATCTGAATAATATCTTAGAGTGAGTTGATAGAGGCTAAGGACATTTCAGGTGGAGGGTACAGCATGAACAAAAGCAAACCGTATTCATAGAATGATGAGCTGCACGGTTCGGGTGGAATTTAGAATGCCTAAAAGAAAGTTTAGAATATGAGACTGAAATGAAATGTGAAACCAGATTGTGGCCAATCACAATACTAGGCCTAGATTGTCAAGCTCATACTTTGTCATGAAAAGACCAATGAAGCGTTTAAAATAAGAAATAGCATGTGCAGAGCAGTGGTATATAGAGATGGGGAATTTTTTTTTCAGTTTAAGATGATGTTACTCACATGGTTGTGCCTCATCCCTAGAGATCTTGAATTAATTGGTCTAGAAGTATGCATTTCTTTTTTTAATTTTTACTCTTTAATAAAAATTGTATATATATGCAACATGATGTTTTCATATACATATACAATTGTGATATGATTACTACAATCAAGTTAATATATTCATTTTTGTGCTTGTGTGTGATGAGAACTCAAGATCTACTCTCTTAGCAAATTTTCAATATAATGCAGTATTATTAACTATAGTCACCATGCTGTACATTAGATCTCTAGAACTTATTCATCCTACATAACTGAAACTTTGCACATTTTGACCAACATATCCTTATCTCTGCCTCCCGCCCACCCCTGGCAACCACCTTTCTACTCTCTGTTTCAGTAAATTTGATTTTTAAAGATTCTGCACATAAGTGAAATCATGCCGTATTTTTCATTCTGGGTAATGTCCTTCAGGTTGGTAATCCCTTTATTCAAAGGAAGAGGGTAGAATTTCTGATATTGTTACAAATGAAGTGCTATGAATATTCAGAGGAGACACTTGAGAGTAAATTTTAAGGAAATGACATTTGAATAATATCACTTAGCATAATGTCCTGGAGTACATTTATCTGCTTACAAGTGTGAATCCCAATGACAGACGTATGATGTGCTTCATTAACAGCTATGTAGTACAGGCCCAGTTTTATCTACCAGAAAACCTTGGCCTTTTTTCACATCAAGTTGTGCTACAGTCAGTTTAGAAAATGACACTTGCATTGTGGAGTGGAAGTTGAGGAGCCAGTGAGTTACATTAATTTATACACTTATTGCTGTCATAGTCATGACATTTTGTATATACCCCTTCATATTCTACAGTAAAAAATTTGTCCATGACCTGAAAATTACGTTCTCTGCTTCCTCTCTCTCACTTATTTCACTTGTCATCTTCAGTTAGGGCCCAATGTATAGTGTATCCAGCATAGACCTGTGGTTCCCAAATGCAGGTGCCCATGAGAATGCCCTGTGTAACTTTTTTAAAAATGTAGAGTTCCAGGTCCTATCCCAGATCTGTTAAATTAAAATGTCCAGAGGGGGTGCCAAAGTGAACACACACACACATATATGCACACACACAGACATCACACAGGCACATACACTTCACTGAGGGCTCTAAAGCATATCTGTGACTAAGAAACACTGACATTCACCATTTCTACTTGAATTTTTAAGGTGTCTCATTTAGAGAAACCCACTCTGGTGGTCTCTTAATATAAATTATAATGTTTAAGGAGTAATTACTGAGTTTAATTTTACCTATCAGCACTACCATTTTATTCCTGATTTCTTCAGGAAACTCTCTCAAATATTAATGCATTGAATTGTGTAGTCTTCCTAATATTAATAGAGTCCCTCTGACTAGCAAGTTTTCTCATATTTAGATGTTGAAAAAGTAAATTTTCTGCAGAGCTTTTGGGTAATCTTGGCAATTTGAGAAATTAAGTCATTTTTTTAAGTCAAGGTGATTATAATCCAATTATATTATCATCACCGAAGAGTGAAAGTGAAAGCAGAAGGATGATGTCATCATCACTGTGTGAGGTCAGGAAATTAATTATGCCTTTCACAGTTCAAACATTATCAAGTAAACAGATTGTCCAAGATGTCAACACTTTCTCCTTTCTAAATTAAAAAATCTGGAAGGTTCTCAGTGTTCTCTCAGGCATGCATTTGAAGAATTGTCACTTTACTTTTTCTGTTCCATCCCAGGATTCTGGTTAAGTCTGAAGTGGATTCACTCACCCAAGGCAAGGCAACTTTATCTGTCCTGTGAGTAAACTTCCAAAAGTCACTGCATTTCACGCTGCACTGCAAACTAACAACCTTACCTCCTTTCTTACTTTTACATTTTTATTCAGGTTTCATACTATTTTAAGCCTGAATTACATCTCTTAGGGAAAGAAATGTCCTCACAAAAGTTGGAGCTGATTACCTGGTGTTTGTTTTTTGTGGCTTCCTCCTGAGTGTGAAGTATTCTGATCCCATTCAACCATGTGCCAAGTGCAGTAAACGATACATGTGATAAATATTTTCATCTTTCTTGTCCAAGTTGTACTTTAATGTATTATACTATGTTATAAGATTTGCTTTGAATGACATTTATTTTTGGTGGGACAAAAATATATCACTTCATTTTTTATTAATACATTATAATTGTACATATTTATGGGGTGTCTGTAATATTTTGATACATTTATACAATCAGTAATGATCAAAATAGGACATTTAGGATATTCGTCGCCTCAATTATTTATCATTTCTTGTGTTGGAAAAGTTCCAAATCTTCTAACTATTTTGAAATATACAATAAATTATTGTTAACTATACTCGCCCTATGATGGTATCAAACACTTTAACTTACTCTTTCTATCTGACTATATTTGTGTCCCCATTATCCAATCTCTCTTATCTCTTCCTCACCCCTATTTTTCCCAACGCCTGGTAACCATCCTTCTCTACCTCCATGAGATCAAATTTTTAGTTCCCATATGTAAATGAGAACGAGATATTTGTCTTTCTGTGCCTGGCTTATTTCACTTAATATAATTACCTCCTAATATAATTACCTCCTAATATAAGTTCCACCTATGGTGCTGCAAATGACAGGATTTCATTCTCTTTTACAGCTGAATAATATTTTATTGCATATATCTACCATGTTTTCTTTATCCATCCATTCATTGATGAACACTTAGGTTGATTCCATACCTTGACGATTGTGAATAGTGGCTGCAATAAACGTGGTGATGCAGATATGTTTTTTTTCATTCTATGTCCAGCAGATTTGTAAAAAAAAAAATATTGAGATAAAATATACACATATAATTTACCATCTTTAGCATTTTCAATTATATAGTTCAGTGGTAATAAACCCATTTCTTTTCTCTCTTCTCCTTAATTATTCCTTCCCCTTCTCTTTCCTGGCTTTTGGTAACCATCAGTTTAACCTCTATCTTTGTGAGATCCACCATTTATTTTAGCTCCCACGTATGAGTGAGAACATGTGATATTTGTCTTTCTGTTCTTCGCTTATTTCACTTAACATAATGGCCTCCAGTTACATCCATGTTGCTGCAAATAATACGATTTTATTCTTTTATGGCTGAATAATATTCCATTGTGTGTATGTACCACATTTTCTTTACCCGTTCATCTGTTCATGGGCACTTAGATTGATTCTCTATCTTGGCTATTATGAACAGTGTTGCAGTTAACATGGAAGTGGAGATATCTCTTTGATATACTTATTTCCTTTCATATATGTATACACACACACACACACACACACACACACACACACACTCAGGACTGAGATTGCTGGATCATACGGTATTTATGTTTTTAGTGTTTTTGAGGAACCTCCATACCATTTTCCATAATAGCTGTATTAAGTTACATTCTTACAAATGATATATAAGAATTTCCTTTTCTCTTTATCAGCACTTTTAATTTTTTGTATCTCTGATAATAGCCATTTTAACTGGTATTGAGAGGATATCTCACTGTTGTTTTGATTGGCATTCCCTTTACGATTAGAGATGTGGAGTATTTTTCATATACTTGCTGTCCATTTTTATGTCTTCTTTTCAGAAATGTCTGTTCATATCATTTGCCCATTTTTTAGTCAGATTACTTATTTGCTGATGTTGAGTTTCTTATATAGTTGACCCTTGGACAACATGGATTTCAACTGCACAGGTCCACTTATATTTGGATTTTTTAAGTGAATATATTGGAAATTTTTTTGAAGATTTTCACCAATTCGAAGAAATTTGCAGGGGAACCAAGTAGCCTAGAAATATTAAAAAAAAATTTAAGTTCTAAAATTGACACCCTAACATCACATTTAAAAGAATTAGAGAAGCAAGAGCAAACACATTCAAAAGCTAGCAGAAGACAAGAAACAACTAAGAGCAGAGCAGAACTGAAAGAGATAGAGACACAAAAAAACCTTCAAAAAATCAATGAATCCAGGAGCTGGTTTTTTGAAAAGATCAACAAAATTGATGGACCACTAGCAAGACTAATAAAGAAAAAAAGAGAGAAGAATCAAATAGACACAATAAAAAATGATAAAGGGGATATCACCACCAATCCCACAGAAATACAAACTACCATCAGAGAATACTATACACACTTCCATGCAAGTAAACTAGAAAATGTAGAAGAAATGGATAAATTCCTAGACACATACACCCTCCCAATACTAAATCAGGAAGAAGTTGAATCCCTGAATAGACCAATAACAGGATCTGAAATTGAGGCAATAATTAAGAGCCTGCCAACCAAAAAAAGTCCAGGACCAGATGGATTCGCAGCTGAATTCTACCAGAGGTACAAGGAGGAGCTGGTACCATTCCTTCTGAAACTATTCCAATCAACAGAAAAAGAAGGAATCCTCCCTAATTCATTTTATGAGGTCAGCATCATCCTGATACCAAAGCCGGGCAGAGACACAATAAAAAAAAAGAGAATTTTAGACCAATATCCCTGATGAACATCGATGTAAAAATCCTCACTAAAATACTGGCAAACCGAATCCAGCAGCACATCAAAAAGCTTATCCACCATGATCAAGTGGGCTTCATCCCTGCGATGCGGGGCTGGTTCAGCATACGCAAATCAATAAATGTAATCCACCATATAAACAGAACCAAAGACAAAAACCACATGATTATCTCAATAGATGCAGAAAAGGCCTTTGAGAAAATTCAACAACACTTCACGCTAAAATCTTTCAATAAATTAGGTATTGATGGGACGTATCTCAAAATAGTAAGAGCTATTTATGATAAACTCACAGCCAATATCATACTGAATGGGGAAAAACTGGAAGCATTCCCTTTGAAAACTGGCACAAGACAGGGATGCCCTCTCTCACCACTCCTATTCAACATAGTGTTGGAAGTTCTGGCCAGGGCAATTAGGCAGGAGAAGGAAATAAAGGGTGTTCAATTAGGAAAAGAGGAAGTCAAATCGTCCCTGTTTGCAGATGACATGATTGTATATCTAGAAAACCCCATTGTCTCAGCCCAAAATCTCCTTAAGCTGATAATCAACTTCAGCAAAGTCTCAGGATACAAAATCAATGTGCAAAAATCACAAGCATTCTTATACACCAATAACAGACAAACAGAGAGCCAAATCATGAGTGAACTCCCATTCACTATTGCTTCAAAGAGAATAAAATACCTAGGAATCCAACTTCCAAGGGATGTGAAGGACCTCTTCAAGGAGAACTACAAACCACTGCTCAACGAAATAAAAGAGGACACAAACAAATGGAAGAACATTCCATGCTCATGGGTAGGAAGAATTAATATTGTGAAAATGGCCATACTGCCCAAGGTAATTTATAGATTCAATGCCATTCCCATCAAACTACCAATGACTTTTTTCACAGAACTGGAAAAAACTACTTTAAAGTTCATATGGAACCAAAAAGAGCCCGCATTGCCAAGTCAATCCTAAGCCAAAAGAACAAAGCTGGAAGCATCAGGCTACCTGACTTCAAACTATACTAAAAGGCTACAGTAACCAAAACAGGATGGTACTGGTACCAAAACAGAGATATAGACCAATGGAACAGAACAGAGCCCTCAGAAATAACACCACACATCTACAACCATCTGATCTTTGACAAACCTGGCAAAAATAAAAAATGGGGAAAGGATTCCCTATTTAATAAATGGTGCTGGGAAAACTGGCTAGCCATATGTAGAAAGCTGAAACTGGATCTCTTCCTTACACTTCATACAAAAATTAATTCAAGATGGATTAAAGACTTAAATGTCAGACCTAAAACCATAAAAACCCTAGAAGAAAACCTAGGCAATACCATTCAGGACATAGGCATGGGCAAGGACTTCATGTCTAAAACACCAAAAGCAAAGGCAACAAAAGCCAAAATTGAGAAATGGGATCTAATTAAACTAAAGAGTTTCTTCTACACAGCAAAAGAAACTACCATCAGAGTGAACAGGCAACCTACAGAATGGGAGAAAAGTTTTGCAATCTGCTCATCTGACAAAGGCTAATATCCGGAATCTACAAAGAACTCAAACAAATTTACAAGAAAAAAACAACCCCATCAAAAAGTGGGCAAAGGAGATGAACAGACACTTTTCAAAAGAAGACATTTATGCAGCCAACAGACACAGGAAAAAATGCTCATCATCACTGGCCATCAGAGAAATGCAAACCGAAACCACAATGAAATACCATCTCACACCAGTTAGAATGGTGATCATTAAAAAGTCAGGAAACAACAGGTGCTGGAGAGGATGTGGAGAAATAGAAACACTTCTACACTGTTGGTGGGACTGTAAACTAGTTCAACCATTATGGAAGACAGTGGGTTGATTCCTCAAGGATCTAGAACTAGAAATACCATTTGACCCAGCCATCCCATTACTGGGTATATACCCGAAAGATTATAAATCATGCTGCTATAAAGATGCACACATATGTTCATTGCGACACCATTCACAATAGCAAAGACTTGGAACCAACTCAAATGTCCATCAATGATAGACTGGATTAAGAAAATGTGGCATATATACACCATGGAATACTATGCAGCCATAAAAAATGATGAGTTCATGTCCTTTGTAGGGACATGGATGAAGCTGGAAACCATCATTCTCAGCAAAGTATCGCAAGGACAAAAAACCAAACACCACATGTTCTCACTCATAGGTGGGAATTGAACAATGAGAACACTTGGACACAGGAAGGGGAACATCACACACTGGGGCCTGTCTTGGGGTGGGGGGTTGGGAGAGGGATAGCATCAGGTGATATACCTAATGTAAATGACGAGTTAATGGGTGCAGCACACCAATATGGCACATGTATACGTATGTAACAAACCTGCACATTGTGCGCATATACCCTAGAACTTAAAGTATAATAGTAAAAAAAAACTTTAAGTTAGGCATGTCACAAGTGCATAAAATACATGCAGATACTAGTGTATCTTATCATTAACTACCATAAAATATACACAAATCTACTGTAAAACGTTAAAATGCATCAAACTTTACACAAACACTTATAGACTGTACATAGCACCATTCACATTCTAGAGAAATGTCAAGAAACATAAAAATGTGGTATGAAATCATAACTGCATAAAGTTACCTATAGTACATGCTCTACTACTGTAATAATTGTGTACCTACCTCCTGTGGCTATTGCAGGTAGCTCAAGTATTGCGAGTATCCTCTTAAAATATCTTGTGACACTAATCACCTCCACATAAGCCATCTGACTCTCTAGTAAATTGCATATCACAGTAAAAATGATCTCTCTAAATTCTTGCATTTTTTATCATGTTTAATGCAATACCTTAAATGTTGAATAACACCATGGGACCCATACAAAGTACTACTAGTGATACTGGAAGTGCTTTCAAGAAGTGAAATCATGACATTACAAGGAAAAGTTGATTTGCATGATATGTGCCATAAATTAAGGTCTGCAGCTGTAGTTGGGCACCATTTCAAGATAAATGAATCTCACATAAGGACTGTTGTAAACGAAAGAAAGGAAAGAAAAGAAAAGGAAACTTGTGAAGCAATCTCTGCAGCTATACCAGCAGGCACAAAATCTTTGTGCTTTTTTTGAAATGCCTTTGTGTTGTATATTGAAAATGCCATTTGTATGTGGGAGCAAGATTGCTGTAAGAAAGCCATACCTAACAACTCTAATACGATTTGTGAAAAAGCAAACTTATGACATGACAACTTGAAGCAAGAGGAAGGCGAAGGATCAGAAGTTGGAGAATTTAATGCCAGCAAAGGGTGATCTGACCATTTTAGAAAGAGGTTTGACTTTTAAAATATCAAGATAATAGGAGAAGCCACTTCTGCCAACCAAGAGGCAGATGATTCCTAGACATGATTAAGAAGATCATTGAGGAGAAAGGATATATGTCTGAAAAGTGAAGACAAAAATGTCCTATTCTGGAAAAAAAAATGCCACAAGGTACATTAATTAGTAAGGAAAAAAAAGTGAGCACCAAGATTTAAGATAGGAAGGGATAGGCTAACTCTACTGTTTGTGCAAATGAAGTAGGGTTTATGATCAGGACTGCCCTTATCTATAAAAGTGCTAAACCCCTAGACTTGAAGGGAAAAGATAAACACCAGCTGCCAGTCTTTTGGTTGTACAACAAGAGGGCCTGGACAGTGAGAACTGTTATTCTAATTGGTTTCATCTGTGCTTTTTCGCTGAAGTCAGGAAGTAAAGTACCTTGCCAGTAGGGGATTGCTTTTTAAAATTCTTCTGATAGACAATGCCCCTAGCCACCCAGAACCCCACGAGTTCAACATAGAAAGTCTCTTAGTTGTCTTGCTGCCCTCAAACACAATATGTCTAATTCAGCATCTGGATCAGGGGGTCATAAAGGCTTTTAAGATTCACTACACATGGTACTCTATGGAAATGAATGTCAATGCTTTGGAAGGGAAACCCAATAGAGTCAACATCATGAAAGTCTGGAAGGATTACAGCATTGAAGATGCCATCGTTGTTATAGAAAAAGCCGTGAAACCCCTCAAGCCCAAAACAATAAATCCCTGCTGGAGAAAGCTGTGTCCAGATGTTCTGCATGACTTCACAGGATTTATAACAGAGTCAATAAGTGAAATTATGAAAGTGATTGTCAATATGGCAAAAAAGTTGGAGAGTGAAGTGTTTCAGTATATGGATCTTGAAGAAATTCAAGAGCTAATAGACACTACGCAGGAGACAACTTGCTGGAAATGAATGCTTCCAAACAGTGCCAGAAGATGAGGGGAAAGACGTAAAAGAAACGGTAGCAAAGACCAAACTGATATTAGAAAATCAGGCGAAAAGGTTTTGATTACTCAATACTGTCTTTTTTTTTTTTTTTTTTTTTTAACAACATGGACGCTTCTATGACATGAGCATTGAAACCAAAGCAAACAGTGGAAAAAGAATTGGGAAGCTATAGAAACATCGATGGAGAAATGAAAAAGCAAAAATGTCAGGCAGAAATTGTGATGTGTTTCCCTAAAGTTACACTAAGTGTGACTGCCTCTCCTGCATTGCCTTCCACCTTTTCAACCTCTTCCACCTCCTCCACCGCTGAGACAGCAAGACCGACCCCTCCTACTCCTCTTTTTCCTCAGCCTATTCAACATGAAGATGAGGAGGGTGAAAACCTGTATGATAATCTACTTCCACTAAACAAATAGTAAATATACTTTCTCTTCCTTATAATTTTCCTGACATTTCCTTTTCTTTTGTTTATTACAAGAACACAGTACATAAAACATACAACATACAAAATATGTATTAGTCAACGGCTTATGTTACTGGTAAAGTCAACAATAGGCTATTGGTAGTTAAGTTTTCAAAAGTTATACACTGATTTTTTACTGTGGAGGGTTGAGTCAGTGCTCCTAATCTGCATGTTGTTCAAGGGTTAGATATATATTTTGGTTATTAATACCTTGTCAGATGGGTAGTTTACAGTTTTTTTCTCCCATTTTGTAGGTTGTCCCTTCACTATGATTTTTTTGTTTGTTCATTTGTTTTGTTTTTGTTTGTTGTTTGTTTGTTTTGCTTTTGCTATGGAGAAGCATTTATGCATGATAGGCTCCCATTTGCCTATTTTTGCTTTCATTGTCTGTGCTTTTCAGATCTGACCAAAAGAATATTTGCTCAGACCAATGTCCTGGATCATTTTCCTAGTGTTTTCTTCTAGTAGTTTTATAGTTTCAACTCACACTTAAGTCTTTTATCTACTTTGATTTGATTTTTATATGGTGAGAGATCTGAGTCTAGTTTTATTCTTCTGCATATGGATGTATAGTTTTCTCAGGAAAACTATATAATATTTATTTTTATCTATTAAGGAGACTGTCTTTTACACAATATATGTTTTTGGTATCTTTGTTTAAAATGAGTTGGCTGTAAATGTGTGGGTTTACTTCTGGTTTCTCTATTCCATCCCATTGGTCTATGCCTCTGTTTGTATGCCAGTACCGTGCTGTTTTGGTTTGTAGTATATTTTGAAATCAGGTAGTGTGATCCCTCCAGCTTTGTTCTTTTTGTTCAGGATTGCTTTGGCTTTTCAGAGTCTTCTGTGGCTCCATACAAATTTTAGGATTGTTTTATCTATTTCTATAAAGAATATCATTAAAATTTTGATAGGGATTGCACTGAATCTATAGATTACTTTGGGTAGCATGGATATTTTAACAATATTAGTTCTTCCAGTTCATGAATATGGGATACCTTTCTAATTTTTTGGTGCCCTCTTCAATTTCTTTCATCAGGTTTTTTTTGTAGCTGTTGTACATGGGATTTCTTTCTTGATCTCTTTTTCAAATTGTTCACTGTTGGCATATAGAAGTGCCACTGTTTTTCATATGCTGATTTTTGTATGCTTAAATTTACTAAGTTTGTTTATCAGTTCTAACAGTTTTCTTGTGGACTCTTTAGATTTTTCTAACTATAAGATTGCGTTGTCTGCAAACAAGGACAGTTTGACTTCTTGCTTTCCAATTTCAATGCCTTGTATTTCTTTCTTTTGCCCAATTGTTCTGGCTAGGACTTCCAGTACTATGTTGAATAAAACTGGTGAAAGTTGGTGTCCTTGTCTTTTTCCTGATCTTAGAGAAAATGCTTTCAATTTTTCCCTGTTTAGCATAATGTTAACTATGGTTTTATTACATGTGACCTTTATTATTTTGAGGTATGTTTCTTCATACCAAGTTTGTTGAGAGTTTTTATTATGAAGAGATGTTGAATTTTAACAAACACTTTTCAGCATATATTGATGCTGTGATATTGTTTTTGTTTTTGATTCTACTAATGTGAATATTATGGTTTTTGATTTGCATATGTTGAACCATCCTTGCATCTCTGGGATGAATCCCACTTGATCATGGTGAATTATCTTTTTAATGTGTTGTTGAATTCAGTTTGCTAGTATTTTGTTGAAGATTTTTGCATCTATATTTATTGTTTTTGTTTGTTTGTTTGTTTTGAGACAGAGTCTCACTCTGTCACCCAGGCTGGAGTGCAGTGGCATGATCTCAGCTCACTGCAATCTCCACTTCCCGAGTTCAAGCGATTCTCCTGCCTCAGCCTCCCAAGTAGCTGGGATTACATGTGCCTGCCACCATACTCAGGTAATTTTTTGTATTTTTAGTAGAGACAGGGTTTTACCATGTTGCTCAGGCTGCTCTCAAACTCCTGACCTCATGATTCGCCCACCTCAGCCTCCCAAAGTGCTGGGATTACAGGCGTAAGCCACCATGCCTGGCCTATCAGGGATATTAATCTGTAGTTCTCTTTTATTGTTGTCTGCTTATCTAGTTTTGGTGTCAGGGTAATGCTTGCCTTCCTAGAATGAGTTTGGAAGTATTCTCTCCTCTTTTTTTTTCTAATAATTTAGGAAGAAGTGATATTAGATCTTCTTTAAATGCTTGATAGAATTCAGCAGGGAAACCATCAGGTCTGAGCTTTTTATTTTGATGGGAGACTTTTTATTACTGCTTTGATCTTGTTACTCACTAATAATCTGCTCAAGTTTTCTATTTCTTCATGATTCTATCTTGGTATGTTATCCATGTCCAAAAATTCATCCATTTCCTATAGGTTTTCCAATTTGTTGGTGCTTAGAAGTTCATATAGTCTTAATGATCCTTTCCTTGGTTTTGGTTTCTGTACTTTTGGTGTAGTGTTTTGTTTTTGTCTCTGATTTATTTATTTTGCTCTCTTTTTTTAGTCTCACTAGTGATTTGTCAACTTGGTTTATCTTTTCAAAAAATATAATTTTTATTTTGCTGATCTCTTGCATTTTTAGTCTCAATTTTATTTATGTATGCTCTGATCTTCATTATTTCTTCTTTTCTAATTTTGGGTTTGGTTTGTTCTTGCTTTTCTAGTTCATTGAGGTACATTGTTAGGTTGTTAATTTGAAGTCTTTCTACTTTTTTGGTGCAGGCATTTATTGCTATATACTTTGCTCTTAGTACTGCTTTGCTATATCCCATTGGTTTTGGTATGTGTGTTTCCATTTTCACTTATTTCAAGAATTTTTAAAATGTCCTTCTTAATCCTTTCATTGACCCATTGGTCATTCAGGAGCATGGTGTTTAATTTCCATGCATTTGTACCATTTCCCAGGTTCCTCTTGTTATTAATGTCTAGTTTTATTTCATTGTGGTCAGAAGAAGATACTTGACATGATTTGACTTTTCTTGAATTTGTTAAGATTTGTCTTACAGCCTAAAACATGGTCTAACCTGGGGAATGTTACATTTGCTGATAAGAAGAATGTGTATTCTGCAACAATTGAATGAAACATTCTGTAAATGTCAGTTAGTCCTTTTGATCTAGAATGTACTTTAATGTTTCTTTGTCAATTTTTTATATGGATTATCTCTCCATTGCTGAAAGTGGGGTGTTAAAGTCCTCCTACTGTTATTGTATTGTAGTCTCTCTCTTCCTTTAAATCTATTAATAGTTGCTTTATGTATTTCAGTGTTATGGTGTTGTGTGCATATATATATATATATTTGTGATTATTGTATCCTCTTGCTGGATTGAATCCTTTATTACTATATAATGACCTTCTTTGTCTCTTTTTACAGTTTTTGACTAGAACTCTACTTGGTCTAAGTGTAGCTGCTCCTGCTCTTTTTTGGTTTCCATTTGTGTAGAATATCTTTTCCATCCCTTCACTTTCTATCACTTTATTTTATAAGGTTAAGTACAGCACAAACAAAGGAAGGATGGAAGGGATTTCTAAACATGAACTTCTGTGAAGATCAGAATATTTTAATATACTCAGTACATGACATTATACTTGAACCTTATTTATTTACTTAAGTACAGATTTCTATTTGTTTTATACTTCTTAGAATTTCATCTTTTTGGTTACCTTTAATTTTTATTATTTTAGATTCAGGGGTTATATGGGCAGGTTTGTTACATGGTTATATTTGCATGATGTTGAGGTTTGGACTTCTAGTGGTTTCATCACTAGAATCTAGTAGTGAACGTATTACCAGATATGTAGTTTTTCAGCCCTTGCCCTCCTCCCTTCCTCCCACTTTTGGAATTTCCAGTGTTTGTTGTTCCTATATTTGTGTCCACATGTACTTAATGTTTAGCTCCCACTTCTAAGTGAGAACATGCAGTATTTGGTTTTCTGTTTTTGCATTATCACATCTTGTTTAAAACAACAGCTAAAATTGAGAGACCTACATTCAATGTGGATAACTATAGCAGTGACTTCAAAGAAAGAGGGTAGAATCTGGTAAACAATGTCTGAGAAGAATTAAATAATAGAGGGGGAACTTAGGAGTGAGGTGGAATAGGAGAATATGGTGTCCCAGAAGCCATGTAGGAGAGAGTTTTGAGAAAGAAGGAATGTTTATTAGTGTCTGAAGCTGCAGAGTGATTGAATAAGACGACAATTTACAAACACCCACTGAATTTTCAACTAAGGTCAATGGTGATGTTAGACCAAACACTATCAGCAAAATATGGAGTCACTGTGTGATTCAAGGACAGAGGGGACACAAGGAAGTAGAGGTGATCACTATAGATTTCCTTTTATTTATTTTTTTTCCATTTTACTATTATTATACTTTAAGTTTTAGGGTACAGGTGCACAATGTGCAGCTTAGTTACATATGTATACATGTGCCATGCTGGTGTGCTGCACCCATTAACTCGTCATTTAGCATTAGGTATATCTCCTAATGCTATCCCTCCCTCCTCCCCCCACCCCACAACAGTCCCCAGAGTGTGATGTTCCCCTTCCTGTTCTCGTTGTGTTCTCATTGTTCAATACCCACCTATGAGTGAGAACATGCGGTGTTTGGTTTTTTGTCCTTGTGATAGTTTACTGAGAATGATGATTTCCAATTTCATCCATGTCCCTACAAAGGACATGAACTCATCATTTTTTATGGCTGCATAGTGTTCCATGGTGTATATGTGCCACATTTTCTTAATCCAGTCTATCATTGATGGACATTTGGGTTGGTTCCAAGTCTTTGCTATTGCGAATAGTGCCGCAATAAACATACGTGTGCATGTGTCTTTATAGCAGCATGATTTATAGTCCTTCGAGTATATACCCAGTAATGGGATGGCTGGGTCAAATGGTATTTCTAGTTCTAGATCCCTGAGGAATAGCCACACTGACTTCCACAATGGGTGAACTAGTTTACGGTCCCACCAACAATTTAAAAGTGTTCCTATTTCTCCACATCCTCTCCAGCACCTGTTGTTTCCTGACTTTTTAATGATTGCCATTCTAACTGATGTGAGATGGTATCTCATTGTGGTTTTGATTTGCCTTTCTCTGATGGCCAGTGATGGTGAGCATTTTTTCATGTGTTTTTTGGCTGCATAAATGTCTTCTTTTGAGAAGTGTCTGTTCATGTCCTTCGCCCACTTTTTGATGGGGTTGTTTTTTCTTGTAAATTTCTTTGAGTTCATTGTAGATTCTGGATATTAGCCCTTTGTCAGATGAGTAGGTTGCGAAAATTTTCTCCCATTTTGTAGGTTGCCTGTTCACTCTGATGGTAGTTTCTTTTGCTGTGCAGAAGCTCTTTAGTTTAATTAGATCCCATTTGTCAATTTTAGCTTTTGTTGCCATTGCTTTTGGTGTTATAGACACGAAGTCCTTGCCCATGTCTATGTCCTGAATGGTAATGCCTAGGTTTTCTTCTAGGGTTTTTGTGGTTTTAGGTCTGACATTTAAGTCTTTAATCCATCTTGAATTAATTTTTGTATAAGTTGTAAGGAAGGGATCCAGTTTCAGCTTTCTACATATGGCTAGCCAGTTTTCCCAGCACCATTTATTAAATAGGGAATCCTTTCCCCATTGCATGTTTTTCTCAGGTTCGTCAAAGATCAGATAGTTGTAGATATGTGGCATTATTTCTGAGGGCTCTGTTCTGTTCCATTGCTCTATATCTCTGTTTTGGTACCATTACCATGCTGTTTTGGTTACTGTAGCATTGTAGTATAGTTTGAAGTCAGGTAGTGTGATGCCTCCAGCTTTGTTCTTTTGGCTTAGGATTGACTTGGCAATGCAGGCTCTTTTTTGATTCCATATGAACTTTAAAGTAGTTTTTCTCCAATTCTGTGAAGAACGTCATTGGTAGCTTGATGGGGATGGCATTGAATCTATAAATTACCTTGGGCAGTATGGCCATTTTCACGATATTTATTCTTCCTACCCATGAGCATGGAATGTTCTTCCATTTGTTTGTATCCTCTTTTATTTCACTGAGCAGTGGTTTGTAGTTCTTGAAGAGGTCCTTCATGTCCCTTGTAAGTTGGATTCCTAGGTATTTTATTCTCTTTGAAGCAATTGTGAATGGGAGTTCACTCATGATTTGGCTCTCTGTTTGCCTGTAATTGGTGTATATGAATGCTTGTGATTTTTGTACATTGATTTTGTATCCTGAGACTTTGCTGAAGTTGCTCATCAGCTTAAGGAGATTTTGGGCTGAGACAATGGGGTTTTCTAGATATACAATCATGTTGTCTGCAAACAGGGACAATTTGACTTCCTCTTTTCCTAATTGAATACCCTTTATTTCCTTCTCCTGCCTAATTGCCCTGGCCAGAACTCCCAACAATATGTTGAATAGGAGTGGTGAGAGAGGGCATCCCTGTCTTGTGCCAGTTTTCAAAGGGAAAGCTTCCAGTTTTTGCCCATTCAGTATGATATTGGCTGTGGGTTTGTCATAGACAGCTCTTACTATTTTGAGATACGTCCCATCAATACCTAATTTATTGAGAGTTTTTAGCATGAAGAGTTGTTGAATTTTCTCAAAGGCCTTTTCTGCATCTATTGAGATAATCATGTGGTTTTTGTCTTTGGCTCTGTTTATATGCTGGATTACATTTATTGATTTGCATATATTGAACGAGCCTTGCATCCCAGGGATGAAGCCCACTTGATCATGGTGGATAAGCTTTTTGATGTGCTGCTGGATTTGGTTTGCCAGTATTTTATTGAGGATTTTTGCATAATGTTCATCAAGAATATTGGTCTAAAATTTTCTTTTTTGGTTGTGTCTCTGCCCGGCTTTGGTATCAGGATGATGCTGGCCTCATAAAATGAGTTAGCGAGGATTCACTCTTTTTCTATTGATTGGAATAGTCTCAGAAGGAATGGTACCAGTTCCTCTTTGTACCTCTGGTAGAATTCGGCTATGAATCCATCTGGTCCTGGACTCTTTTTGGTTGGTAAGCTATTGATTATTGCAATTCAGAGCCTTTTATTGGTCAATTTCAATTCAGAGCCTTTTATTGGCCCTGAATTTATTGGCCCTGAATTTATTGGTCAATTTCAATTCAATTTCAGAGCCTTTTATTGGTCTATTCAGAGTTTCAACTTCTTCATGGTTTAGTCTTGGGAGGGTGTATATGTCGAGGAATTTATCCATTTAAGACACAGACTGGCAAATTGGATAAAAAGTCAAGACCCTTCAGTGTGCTGTATTCAGGAAACCCATCTCAGGTGCAGAGACACACATAGGCTCAAAATAAAAGGATGGAGGAAGATCTACCAAGCAAATGGAAAACAAAAAAAGGCAGGGCTTGCAATCCTAGTCTCTGATAAAACAGACTTTAAACCAACAAAAATCAAAAGAGACAAAGAAGGCCATTACATAATGGTAAAGGGATCAATTCAACAAGAAGCGCTAACTCTCCTAAATATATATGCACCCAATACAGGAGCACCCAGATTCATAAAGCAAGTCCTGAGTGACCTACAAAGAGACTTAGACTCCCACACAATAATAATGGGAGACTTTAACACCCCACTGTCAACATTAGACAGATCAACGAGACAGAGAGTCAACAAGGATACCCAGGAATTGAACTCAGCTCTGCACCAAGCAGACCTAATAGATATCTACAGAACTCTCCACCCCAAATCAACAGAATGTACATTCTTTTCAGCACCACACCACACCTATTCCAAAATTGACCACATAGTTGGAAGTAAAGCTCTCCTCAGCAAATGTAAAAGAACAGAAATTATAACAAACTGTCTCTCAGACCACAGTGCAATCAAACTAGAACTCAGGATTAAGAAACTCACTCAAAACTGCTCAACTGCATGGAAACTGAACAACCTGCTCCTGAATGACTACTGGGTACATAACGAAATGAAGGCAGAAATGAAGATGTTCTTTGAAACCAACGAGAACAAAGACACAACATACCAGAATCTCTGGGACACATTCAAAGCAATGTGTAGAGGGAAATTTATAGCACTAAATGCCCACAAGAGAAAGCAGAAAAGATCCAAAATTAACACCCTAACATCACAGTTAAAAGAACTAGAAAAGCAAGAGCAAACACATTCAAAAGCTAGCAGAAGGCAAGAAATAACTAAGATCAGAGCAGAGCTGAAGGAAATAGAGACACAAAAAACCCTTCAAAAAATTAATGAATCCAGGAGCTGGTTTTTTTGAAAGGATCAACAAAATTGATAGACCGCTAGCAAGACTAATAAAAAAGAAAAGAGACAAGATTCAAATAGACACAATAAAAAATGATAAAGGGGATATCACCACCGATCCCATAGAAATACAAACTACCATCAGAGAATACTACAAACACCTCTACGCAAATAAACTAGAAAATCTGGATTTCCTTTTAAAAAACTTAAATGACAGTCCCACCAACAGTGTAAAAGTGTTCCTATTTCTCCACATCCTCTCCAGCACCTGTTGTTTCCTGACTTTTTAATGACTGTAAACTAGTTCAACCATTGTGGAAGACAGTGTGGTGATTCCTCAGGGGTCTAGAGCTAGAAATACCATTTGACCCAGCCATCCCATTACTGGGTATATACCCAAAGGAACATAAATCATGCTATAAAGACACATGCACACGTAAGTTTATTGCAGCACTACTCACAACAGCAAAGACTTGGAACCAACCCAAATGTCCAACAATGATAGACAGGATTAAGAAAATGTGGCACATATACACCATGGAATACTATGCAGCCATAAAAAATGATGAGTTCATGTCCTTTGTAGGGACATGGATGAAGCTGGAAACCATCATTCTCAGCAAACTATCGCAAGGACAAAAAAACCAAACACCGCATGTTCTCACTCATAGGTGGGAATTGAACAATGAGAACACTTGGACACAGGAAAGGGAACATCACACACCAGGGCCTGTTGTGGGGAGGGTGTTTGGGGGAGGGATAGCATTAGGAGATATACCTAATGTAAATGACGAGTTAATGGGTACAGCACACCAACATGGCACATGTATACATATGTAACAAACCTGCACGTTGTGCACATGTACCCGAGAACTTAAAGTATAATAAAAATTAAAAAAAAAACTTCGATGACGAGAATGATTGGGTGTTAGTGAGAAAGAGGATGACAGTCAAAGGGATATTTGGAGGGAGTTATGAAAGAGCTTGAGCTTATCTCCAGGCAGAATGAAAGAAACTGTTAGGAAGACAAACATTGGCAATGCCAGAGCAAAAAGAGGAAGGTCCCAGAGGAGGGAGGAAAGGATCACAGGGCAGCAAATTGGATGGGCACCATTTCATTAAGACTCAGCAAAGATGTGGTCTCCTGCTTTCATAGAACAAAATGGAGAAAATAGAGCACACTAAGTTAAGATTCCATCTATCTTATGGCCTCCTCATAAATATACTTAGACAAGTATCTTTTTCTCTACCCCTGTCTAGGTCCTTCCCTCCCATCTGTGTAGAAGACATGTCTTTTCTCAGGGACAAGGTGTAATCTCTGTCTATAGGTAAATAAAAATGTGATTGATATTTGTCACATATATGTATATATATAGTCTAAAGAACATAAAGAGTATAAATTGACCTATAATATGGGTAAATGTATATAATAAGCATATGCTTTATTACTAAACCAATAGAGCAATTACAATGCGGTAGATATAAAATACATTACTCCTCCATTCAAATGAAATTTTGACATTCATTAATATAACCAGTGAAAAAATCCTTTATTTAGGATATCTATGACCACATGCCAGATAATTGATCTGCATTAACCATATAACCCAGTTGTTTAGAAAAGTATTCAAATCATCTAAAACATTTTGCTTTTTATATTACATTATATAGATAGAGTCTCTAACTTTATAGGACATACTAATACAGCCAAAATTAAGATCAGAGGCACAATAACAATGGGAAGAAGGAACTGCCTCATCTGTAATTTCAGACACACTTTCATTACTTCTCTAGATGTTTGGTAGTCAAGCATTAGCCTTAAGTTAATGCCTACTTTGGGCCAGAACAATAAGTAGAAATAAAAGGGTAAGTATATTAAGTTTTAGAGGTAGAATTTGCCATTACTAATGCCAAAATCGTGAGAATGATTACAATATAGCTGTCATTTAACAATCTATACCCACTTCTTCATGTTTTCTGCAAATGTTCTTCAGTGCCTAGTAGGTTATAAACACTGTGCTAGGTAATGGAGATACAAAAGTGAATAAAGTACTGCTCTTCCTTTGAGCAACTTGCAATCTCATAGGAGTAAGAGACATGTTCATAATTATTATATAAATATGTATAATGCTGTGAGAGAAATAGGTAAAAAGAAACTACAAATATGTAGTAAACATTATATCCTTTGATCAAAATTTTTACCTTTAGAAATCCATCTAAAAATAATTTGAAATAGAAAAGAACAAAACTCAATGCAAATATTAACATATTGTAATTTATAATAACAAAAAAAGGATTTTAAGCAATTACCAAAAGAAGCAATATATATACTAACCAGGATGGGCTAAGCTATGCCCTAGTGAAAAAATAACACCAAAATTGCAGTGGTTTTACACAACTAATGGCACAATGCAATGTGGGTTGAAGGGCTCTTCTTGTCAGCTTTTCTCCAAGCAGGGACTGAGGAATCCACACACCTTCTGTCATAAATTAATAGCTACAGTATTTGGACTATGTGGCTTTCAAGGACAAAGAACAAAAGGCTAAAGGATCATACAGAGTACTGTTAGGGATAAGTCCTAAAAGAGGCTTGCATCACTTTTTCCACATTCCATTGGTTGTAATTCAGTCACATAGGTTCCAACCTAACTGTAAGAGGGGCTCTAAAATGTAATCTTATTGTATGCCAGGAAGAGAAAACAGTGTATTTAACACACAGCTTTATCTCTGTAACATAGAGTTAATAAATTGGAAAATAGATGCATTTTATCAAGAGTTCATAAAAATACAAAAGTTTTTCTTATAATGTTTACTAAAACTTCCGTATACAAAAATATTTCGTGGTTGAAAAAACTGTGTATAAAAATACATGGGAGGAAATACCCTAAAATACTAATGATCGTATAGAATAAAAGAACAATGTTTTTAAATTTCTTTATTTGAATTTCTGCATTTTTTATTAAAATGTGCTATTTATAATGGAAAACATTAAATGATTTTAAAATTTCTGTAATGTAATATTTTAGCAATTACTGTTAGGAATAACTATAAATCAGATACTCCGAAGAGATTGCAAAGAGGGGAAAGGGAACAAGATGAGTTATAAATTAGGATTAAATAGCTTTTGGAGAAAAAGCAATAGATAGTGGGTATTTTCACCTAGGAGCCCCATGTGAACGTCAGTAATCATTCATTTAAGGGGACTGGGGACCCTGAGAGGTACTAAAGCCTGCACAAGGTAGCCCCAGTGTGAGGTCACCATTCATGAGGCTAGAGGTATGTAACCCATTGTGTGAAGGAAGTTGTTGGGATTACTTGCCTCTGTGAATGTAGTATTGGGGAAAGGAAGGACATGTTTCTTTCTGAAAAGATGTCAAAGTTATACTACAGCAAACATCTACATGTAAATTTGTGTATCCGATTTCAGGTTTAATACTCTGTGGGTTATTTTTATCCTATAAGCTAATTACCTAAAGTATGTATAATTAAAGTCCTGCCCAGGGAACTGTGGAGTCTTATGTACTTGCAGTTTGAAAAAAACTTGAGCTTTCAATAATATTGCACAATGGCTTTGGGCTCATGAATCTACATTCACTGATATTTAAACACACTGCAGATCACTGTGACATGTTTACCTATTCTCCTACTTTCTTCTTGAGGAGGTAAACAATATACTATTTGGGTCAGCTAATTCTTTCAATATCAATGTAGTCTTCCTTTTTCTGCTATGTAATCTGTTTAGAAAAGCTTCCTGCTTAATATGTCCACCATCCCCCAACACTCTCCAAAATAATTTTCAAATGTTGCCTAGAGAAATCTCATTCATTCATTCATTCAACATTTACTGAAGACCTGCATATTAAGCAATTTACAAGACCCAGTGACACAAAGATTAAAAAGACCCAGTTACTCACCTCAAGAGCGTATAGATTAAGATGATGATGGATAAAGTAAGAGAGTAACTAAAAAATTTAGAAATCAGCAACAACAAAAACACATTCTCAGCAGAGTAGGATAAGTGAATGTAAACATACAGGATGCTTTGGAAACCTGGAAGTAAAAAATCTAATTATAACTATAGGGGCCAGGGAAGACACTAGGGAAATGATTCCCTAGCAGAGAATGAATGACTAATAAGGATTTAGTGAGATATATGAGGAGTAGGGGGGAAGGAAGGTGTTGAGAGCAGAGAACTAACGTGTAAAAATAGCATAATTTGTTTGGGAAACTGCAAATAGTAACTCAAGATATAGAAGAAGAAGTGGCAGGCCATGAGGCTAGAAAAGTTGATGTGACAAGATTATGTAGGGTTGTGTGTGACAAGCTGGGTACTAGACTTTTAACCTGAAAGTCATGGAAGTTTACTGAAGAATTTTAAGCTAGGGAGAGATCATGAAGATGAAATGAAGACACAGATGAAAATAAAGGCACTAGTACTGTGATGCAGGCCTAGAGCAAACCTCTACTCAGATGTTGATATTAAAGTTTAAGGAGGTAAAGGGATGTGTTAAGGTCAGTAGGGAGCAGATCCAGAAGAAAGAAAATATATCCCTGGAACTGGGGTTCAGTGAAGCAACACACGTCTCCTGTCGTGCTCCAACTTCATGATAAGTCCTTTCTTGATCAGAAGATGTGGGTAGTGAGTCTTCCTTATCCTACATTTACTCCAAGTCTACTTGTGGCAGAAAAATTAATAATATAAAAATGAAGGAGCTGCAGGCTGGACAGGAGGACTGGGCTTTAAGGAGTTTTAAATGGAGTCTCATTGAAGACTCCAAATGCCATCCCAAGATTATTGGGAGAGATGGGGCAATGGTTACCCAAATCTGCTTGGAGCATGGCGTGAACATCCAGTTTACTGTTGAGGATGATGGGAAGCAGCCCCAGGACCAAATTACCATCACAGGGTACAAAAAGAATACAGAAGCTACACAAGATACTATATTGATTATTATGGATGAACTTGAGCAGATGGATTCTGAGGACGTTCCATTGGACATCCCACATCACTGGTGCCTGCAGCAAAAATCATGGATCCAAAATCGTGGATGAATTCAAAGTTGACATTTGTTTCCCACAGAGAGGAGGCCCAAACCCCAACTGTGGCACCATGATGAGGCTCCCAGAGAACATGGAGAAAGCCATTGACCACATCCTCAACCTAGAGGAGGAATACCTGGCTGATGTGGTAGATAGCAAGGTGCTGCAGGTATACATGAACTCCCCAGTGCATGAAGAGTCCAAGGTGCATTCAGAGGCTTTGTGGTATGGGACACACCGTGGACCACCAGCAGCAGTAAGAAGGCTCCTGACATGAGCAGCTATGAGAAATTTCCCAATTTCAGGGCTCAGGTGGCCCCCAAGACCCTCTCTTGGAGCCCCAAATAATAATGATAAAAAACCAGAAACATCTTCAGCCTGCTGATGCAAACTCCATCACGCAATGGTTTGTCTCAATCTGACCCAGTAGCAGGACTTTCTATAAATTATTGATGCTCTCCCTGCTTCTCAAGTTCTCACAGTGAAACCTGGCATTGCCTGGCTCTGTATGTGGCTGCTTCTCTGGGGCCTGGTTGGCATCCAGAGCATGCTCAGGATCTGCTCGCTGATACTTGGCTCTGGGCACTCCACGGTTTTAACACTAAACAAAGGTAATTGAGTGTTTTGTAATAAGATAACACAGACTGCAGCTTTGTGGTCCACCTGGCAGGTCAATCAGCACTCTGACCTTCATTATGAGAGCTCCTCTTCATTATGAGAAGTTGCTAGGATTCGACTTCCTGTGTCATGACCTCAGGAAATAAATTTCCTTGACTTTATAAAAGCATATATATATGCATATATATATATGCATATATATAAGGGTTCAGTGAAGCAACACATATATATGCATATATATGCATATACACCTGCATACATATACATGCATGCATATATACATGCATATATATGCATATATATACCTGCATATATATGCATATATATACCTGCATATATATGCATATATATACATGTATGCATATATATATACACACACACATACACATATGGGTAAAGTGAAGGAACCCATGCTCCATGGGCTTGGCTCCTGCCATGCTCCAACTTCATGATAAGTTGGGTATATATATGCGTATATATATATGAATATAACCAATATTAATTTTTCCAATCCATTAACATGGAATATATTTCTATTGTTTTGTGTCTTCAATTCCTTTTATCAATGTTTTATAGTTCTAATTATAGCGATTTTTCACTTTTCTGGTTAAGTTTACTCCTAGGTATTTTATTTTATTTGTAGCTATTGTAAATGTGCTTACTTTCTTGGCTTATTTTTTCCGATTGTTCACTGTTGGCCTGTGGAAATGTTACTGATTTTTGTATGTTGATTTTATATCTTGCAACTTTACTGAATTCGTTTATCAGTTCTAATAGTATTCAAGGCAATCTTTATCAAAATACCAGTGACCTTCTTCACAAATAGAAAAAATAATCTTAAAATTTACATGGACTCACAAAAGTTTCAGAATGGTCCAAACAATCCTGAGCAAAAAGAACAAAGCTGGAAGCGTTATATTACCTGACTTCAAATTATACTACAAAATTATAGTAACCAAAACAATGATACTGGCATAAAAACAGACACGTAGATCCATGGAGCTGAATAGAAAACTCAGAAATAAATCTACACCTTAACAAAAAACTTATTTTCAACAAAGGCACTGGGAATGTACATTAAGGGAAGGACAATATTTTCAATAAATAATGCTAGAAAAACTGGATATTCATATACAGAAGAATGAAATGAGAGCCCTACTTCTTGCCATGTACAAAAATCAAATCAACGTGATTACAAGACTTAGATGTAAAATTGAAACAATAAAATTACTAGAAGAAAACATTGGGGGAAATGATCCATGACATTGGTCTGGGCAAAAATTGCTTCAATAGGAGCTCAAAAGCTTGGGCAACTAAAGCAAAAATTAACAAATGGGACTACATCAAGCTGAAAAGCTTCTGCACAGCAAAGCAAGCAATCAATTAAGTGAAGACAGAATGAGAGAACATATCTGCAAACTACCCATATGACAAGGGATTAATAACCAGAATATATAAGAAGCTTAAACAACTCAACAGCAAAAACAAAATAATAACCTCAATCTGATTAAAAATTAGCAAAAGATGTGAATAAACATTTTTTCAAAGAAGATATATAAACGGCCAACAGGTATATGAAAAATTGTTCAACATTACTAATCATAAAGTAATGCAAATCAAAGCTACAGGATGTCTCATCCCAGTTTAAATGGCTTTTATCAAAAAGACTAGTAATAAAGGATGCTAGTAAGGATGTAGAGAAAAGGGAATTCTCCTACACTGTCAATGGGAATGTAAATTAATACAACCACTGTGGAGAACAGTATGGAGATTTCTCAAAAAAATAAAAATAGAAATATCATATGATCCAGCAATCACATTACTAGTTATATATCCAAAAGGAAATTCGTATATCAAAGAGACATCTGCACTCTCATGTTTACTGCAGCACTCTTCACTACAGCCAAAATATGGAATCAACTTCAGTATTCATTAACAGATGAATGAGTAAAGAAAATATGGTATATATACACAACGAAATATTATTCAGCCATATAAAAATGAAATCATGTCATTTGCAACATGTAACTTGAGGGCCTTATGTTAAGTGAAATAAGCCAAGCACAGAGAGACAAATATTGCATGTTCTCACTTATATCTTGGAGCTAAGAAGATTGACCTCATGGAGATAGAGAATAAGAGATGGTTACCAGAGCCTGGGAAGGGTGGTGGGAAGGAGGGGATAAAGAAGTGTTGGTTAATGAATACAAAAATACTGCTAGATAGAAGGAATAAGGTCTAGTGTTTGGTAGCGCAATAGGGTGACTATACTCATCAATGTCAAAATAACTAAAAGAGTGGCATTGGAACGTTCCTAACACAAAGAAATGATAAATGTTTAAGGTGATGGATATCCTAGTTACCCTGATTTGATTGTTACACATAGCATGCTTGTATCAAAATATCCCATGTACCCCATAAATATGTGCAGCTATTATGTATCCATAAAAATTAAAAGTAAAATAGATACACAAAGGCCAGAAACTTAAGCCATCACTGATAATTTTCCTTATATTTATGCAACAAAGGAATATAGTTATTTAATACAGTTGTTTAAACTGTAATTTAGACTTCAAAGAGACAAATTGCATTGCAAAAGAGACCTTGGTGGGATTCCTGTAAATCGGAGATTCCATTCCAGAAGGAATCCCCATTCCAGCATCACAGTCACCACTTGGAAGGTAAAGTAGAAACTTAAGCTCTTATTTTATGCTCTTATCTAAACTTCAGCTGGGCCCAGATCTTATTATCTTGCTATCTTCCTCAGGGCCTGACATAGTACCTAATACCTAGTTTCTTTAAAACAATAATTAGCTGTTGAATGAACAATTCTATACAGCTCACCTTCACATGTGTCATAAAAGTTTAAGTATGCATTACAAATATAATTTTTACTTTGAAATACACTTACTGAATATCACTCTGATGACATTTTTCCCAAGGAAAATTGCTCCGAATCTTTGCAGTCTTTCTTCAAATAATGGGTCAGCTTGTGTAACTGACCCACAGGAGCTTGTGGTGTGCCATCTAGTGACCAATGTGGCCAATATATGCACCACACCAAGAATATTTTGTTATTTTAAATATATACATTACAGGTCTATTAATATTTGAAATAAAAGGCATTTAAAAATAATTATGTGCATATTAATATAACTGATGCATACCACTCAAAAAACAAAGAATTAAAAGAAATGTTGACTGATGTTGACCTATTTATTGCTCAGCATTCATGTAAAGTGTACAAAATTACTAACCATTATGCTAATTTTTGTTGTGATTACCAAGAGTTACTTACCACACACCTCTAGCCTGCAAGATACCACAAAGAATACAAAAACCAACCAAACAAACAAAAATTGGCATGTTGCTGTCTCTCCAGGCATGGCATGCACACATTTTAAAAATTACCAGAATTCAAGGCAGCTTATGACAAGTGACAAAGATTTGATGTATACTTCTCTAAACACATGATAAAGGGGTTAGGTGCAAAGCTTCACAAGGATGGAAAAGGCAAACAATGGAAGGAAGACTGTCCTAAAAAAGGAGAAAATAGAAGCAATACTCGTAAAGAAGTAAAATAAAGAGACTTGACGCCATGCTAAGAAATTCAGATTTTATACTGTATCCTGTAAGTGATGAGGACCCCTGAAGGGCTTTAAGGAAGAGAGTAACTTGATTTTAAAAGCATGTGATCAGGTATGTAACATAGTTAAGTTATAAGCACAAGTCCTCCTTAGAAGAAACAGGAGATGATTAGAATGATTTAATCCTAGAACAGCACAAAAGTTTATACACAGTGCAATATATCTAGAGAATACCTGCAATTTATTATTATATGGATAATCAGGAAATAATGTTGATAAACAACTTCATATTTTAAAATTCTTGTAAATATTCATGGAAGCCTATTGCCCTTGCTAGATGAGCAGAATAGGGAATGGGCTTGGATAGTTTTTGTATCTGGGATGTGTCTACTCTCTTTTCTTTACATGAACTCTCACAGATACAGTGACAGTTTAAAATGTTTACTGGATCTTGCTCCTAAAGGAGAAGCTGAAAGGTCCTGCTAAATGATTGAAGAGTTCATGTGGGGTGAGCTTCACACTAGCAACACAACACTGGTTGCTAGATAAACACAGGCAGAGGGATCCCACTTCAGTGATTTGCAGCAGTGACGGATGGTAATGGTATTTATAATTTTCCTTCCACCAACTGGCGCACATCAAATGACTTGGCAAGGTGGAGAAAAGGTATTAGATTCGAAAGACAAATAATTACCTGAGACTAGTTTAGGTTCTTCTGGAAGGGTTATTATGAGGCTGCAAACCACCAGAATGCCTATGACTTTAAATCTTATAATTTATTAAGAAAAGTCAGAAGAAAGTATCATCCTGTAGGTTAGCATTCAGAAGTGAAGGACTGGCCACCTCATAATTTGTGCTGCCATTCCTTTCCTCAACCAATAACATTGAGTATACTGGAAAACACGCCTAATTTTTTTCTAAAAAGTCTTTTATACTACTAAGGGACTAATTGTTTTTTTGTTAACCGTACCAGCCTAAACCCAATCATATCTACTCAAAAGATGGTCAAGAGGATTGACAATTCGGAATTCTTAATATAAAATTTTTTCTTTATATTTTGTCTGGGCTCATAAAACATTCTTTTAGATTCATATTTTAAGTCTAAATTTAAGCAAGTATTAAGGTTCCATTCTATGTGACCCAATTAGCTCCCCCTACCCTCTGCAAAAAAACTAGGAAACATTTTTGATTATGACAGAAAAAAGAGGAAGCTAAAGTAGAGAGGGCAGCAAAGGAGATATTTCAATTAATCTTCTTAAAGGGTCAAAACAATTACATATATATATATATATATGTATCAAGCAGATAAGCTTCTCACCAATACACATCCAGATGTGTTTTCTGCTCTCCAGCCACCTTTCAGTCCCTTCAATGTGCCCTCTTCCATTGAGCCTCAGTGCCTTTGCACTTGCTGTGCCCCTTGCTGAAATGCTCCAAAATCGAAAACTTTTCAAGTACCAGCATGACACTCAAAGGAAATGCTCAGTGGAGCATTTCAGACTTTGCATTTTTGGATTTGGGATGCTTAACTAGTAAGTATAAGGCAAACATCTCCAAACTTGAAAAACATCTAAAATTCAAAATACTTCTTGTTCCAAGAATTTCATATAAAGAGTATTCAGCCTGTATGTGTGTACGTAAATATTCAACCCCACACACACACACACGCACACACACACTTCTTTAACAGAATTTGAAGCTTGCTTATGTTTCCATAATGTATTTATGAAAATGGCAGGGGAGATCAGAACCATCCAATGATAGGGAATTAACATCCTTTTTCATAGGCTTGGCATCTTCAGATTAGGAAAAAATAAAAAATAAACTACTGCATTCAAAAGGAATTTGTTTTCTCCCTACATCTAATGTTGGCAATGAAGCAGTCCTGTTCTGTTACAAACTTTGTCATGAAAGCATGAAATAATGAATGATAGATGAACTATGTGAGTCATTTGACCATTACATCAAAATTACTTGTGAAGCTTGTGCAAATAAATATGTAAACAAATAAACATCGACTATGCCCTTAGGAAGAAATATACCTTTCCATGCTTTAACATTCCAAGATAATCCCGACACTATGCTATGCCATAATCAAAAAGTTTCTAAATTCTATATTTTTAGTAAATAGTTTGACATATATGCAGTGAGATGTTCCCAATCCTACCACTAGTTTAAAAGGAAAATAATAGGTAAGCTTGAGTGAACATCTAATCATGGCCATTGTAACAAAGCCATCTGATTAATTTCTACTAGTCTTCACATAAACTTCCAAAGTTATGTCATCACCCCTTAGCCAATCAACCTCAACCCCTTGTAAAGTTTGCAACTTTCCATCAACTTTGCAGAGATATAAAGCACATTAACAATATCGTGTGTGTGTGTGTGTGTGTGTGTGTGTGTGTGTGTGTGTGTGTGTGTACAGGGTCTTGCTCTGTCATTCAGCCTGAGGTGCAGTGGTTCTATCTTGGTTCACCTCCCAGTTTCAAGTAATTCTCGTGCTTCAGCCTCCCAAGCAGCTGGGATTACAGAAGTGCACCACCACACCTGGCTAATTTTTGTATTTTTTGTAGAGGCAGGGCTTCACCATGTTGGACAGGCTGGTCTCAAACTCCTGGCCTCAAGTGATCTGCCCGCCTTGGCTTCCCAAAATGCTGGGATTAAGGGCATGAGCCACCATGCTTCTCCAACAATATCTTCATCAGGAGTAACATCAGAAAGATCATCGAGTAAGAAGTCCTAGCCCTTGTTCCTCTACCAAAACACTGATATAATGACAATATTCAGATGAGAGCACCTATGTGAGAAATACAGAATCCAGTTAATAAATTTAAGCATTCCAGATGAGCAAAAAGCTGAGGAAAAAAAATGTGCCAATACAGGTAAGAAGAGCAAATTTACTTTGTGCACATCAAGCCCTCCTCCAAGTTAGCAAGCTCAAATCCAAGAAGCTTGGTATGACCCATGACTTCTCCCATAGAGGGGAAAGAGAGATGCCTCCTGGCTTTTTGGTGCACTCCTGAAGGGGCCTATCTCCGTTTTGCCTCATACTGTGCACTAAAAGATCAATGAAACCTGAGTGCCTCAGACAGCAAGGAGCAAAGGAGAAGGAACATTCTTCTACACCTGTCACTGCTCTGCTAGACTAGAAAAAGGCACAGAACCAAGGTGTTTTTTTTTTTTTTTCCAGGAAGGAAGAAGAGAAACAAAGTGTGCCTTATTCCCACTGTTTCAATGTATTTCCCCATGGAGTCAGTCTCTCTCTCACCTCATACCAAGCACTGAAGTTGCCAGCAGAGTATGGACACCTGGAACAGATAGGGGAAACAGGAAAAGGGGCAGCCATCCTTCTACAACTAACACTGCTCTGAGAGACTGGTAAAAGGCACAAATTCTTCAAATGCACAGACACCAATACAATAATTCAAGGAATGTGAAGAATCAAAAAAACATGACACAATAAAGGAATAAAATAAATCTTCAGTAACCATCCTGAAATAGAGATTCACAAATTATAAGCAACTTCAGCAAAGTCTCAGGATACAAAATCAATGTACAAAAATCACAAACATTCTTATACAGCAATAACAGACAAACAGAGATCCAAATCATGAGTGAACTCCCATTCACAATTGCTTCAAAGAGAATAAAATACCTAGGAATCCAACTTACAAGGGACATGAAGGACCTCTTCAAGGAGAACTACAAACCACTGCTCAATGAAATAAAAGAGGATACCAACAAATGGAAGAATATTCCATGCTCATGGGTAGGAAGAATAAATATCATGAAAATGGCCATACGGCCCAAGGTAATTTATAGATTCAATGCCATCCCCATCAAGCTACCAATGACTTTCTTCACAGAATTGGAAAAAACTACTTTAAAGTTCATATGGAACCAAAAAAGAGCCCGCATCGCCAAGTCAATCCTAAGTCAAAAGAACAAAGCTGGAGGCATCACACTACCTGACTTCAAACTATATTACAAGGCTATAGTAACCAAAACAGCATGGTACTGGTACCAAAACAGAGATATAGATTAATGGAACAGAACAGAGCCCTCAGAAATAATGCCACATATCTACAACTATCTGATCTTTGACAAACCTGAGAAAAACAAGCAATGGGGAAAGGATTCCCTATTTAATAAATGGTGCTGGGAAAACTGGCTAGCCATATGTAGAAAGCTGAAACTGGATCCCTTCCTTACACCTTATACAAAAATTAATTCAAGATGGATTAAAGACTTAAACGTTAGACCTAAAACCATAAAAACCCTAGAAGAAAACCTAGGCATTACCATTCAGGACATAGGCATGGGCAAGGACTTCATGTCTAAAACACCAAAAGCAATGGCAACAAAAGCCAAAGTTGACAAATGGGATCTAATTAAACTAAAGAGCTTCTGCACAGCAAAAGAAACTACCATCAGAGTGAACAGGAAACCTACAAAATGGGAGAAAATTTTCACAACCTACTCATCTGACAAAGTGCTAATATCCAGAATCCACAATGAACTCAAACAAATTTACAAGAAAAAAACAAACAACCCCATCAAAAAGTGGGCGAAGGACGTGAACAGACACTTCTCAAAAGAAGACATCTATGCAGCCAAACAACACATGAAAAAATGCTCACCATCACTGGCCATCAGAGAAATGCAAATCAAAACCACAATGAGACACCATCTCACATCAGTTAGAATGGCAATCATTAAAAAGTCAGGGAACAACAGGTGCTGGAGAGGATGTAGAGAAATAGGAACACTTTTACATTGTTGGTGGGACTGTAAACTAGTTCAACCATTATGGAAGTCAGTGTGGCGATTCCTCAGGGATCTAAAACTAGAAATACCATTTGACCCAGCCATCGCATTACTGGGTATATACCCAAATGACTATAAATCATGCTGCTATAAAGACACATGCACACGTATGTTTATTGCGGCACTATTCACAATAGCAAAGACTTGGAACCAACCCAAATGTCCAACAGTGATAGACTGGATTAAGAAAATGTGGCACATATACATCATGGAATACTATGCAGCCATAAAAAATGATGAGTTCATGTCCTTTGTAGGGACATGGATGAAGCTGGAAACCATCATTCTCAGCAAACTATCACAAGGACAAAAAAACCAAACGTCGCATGTTCTCACTCATAGGTGTAAATTGAACAATGAGAATACATGTACACAGGAAGGGGAACATCACATACCCGGGACTGTTGTGGGGTGGGGGGAGGGGGGAGGGATAGCATTAGGACATATACCTAATGCTAAATGACAAGTTAATGGGTGTAGCACACCGTCATGGCACATGTATACATATGTAACCAACCTGCACATTGTGCACATGTACCCTTTAAACAAAGTATAATAATAATTTTTAAAAAAGAATGCAATGATATGAAACTAGAAATCAATAAATGGAGGAAACTGTAAAACTAAAAAAATGTGGAAATTAAACTACACACTGTTAAACAACCAATGGGTCAAAGAATAAATAAAAAGGGAAATAAAAATTATTTGTACATAAATGAAGAAAAAACATCATACCAAAGCTAATGAATGGCATGCAGCAAAAGTAATACTAAGAAGAAAAATTATAGCAATAAATGCCTACATTAAGAAAGAAAATAGATCTAAAATAAACAACATAATTTTATACCTCAAGAAACAAGAACTAAGCCCAATGTTAGCAAAAGAAAGGAAATAAAGATATCATCAGAAATAAATAAAATGGACTAGAAAAACAATAGAAAAGATAAAAACTCAGTTGCCTTCTTGAAAAATAAACAAATTTGACAGACATTTAGCCTAAGGAAAAAAAGAAAAGAAGCAACAAGATAAAATTAGCTATGGAAAATGAGACATTACAACTAATGCTGTAGAAATGTAAAGAATCACAAAAGAATATGATGAATATGTATATATAAACCAAAAAATTGAGTAACCGAGACAGATGAGATAAATTCCTAGAAATGCACATCCTACAAAGACTAAATTATGAGAACTAAAAAATATAAACAAAGAATAAGGAGATTGAACTGGGAATTTTTTGAAAAATTCAATGAACAAAGCTCAGGACCATATGGCATCACTGGTGAATCTTGCCAATAATTTGAAGAGTTTATGCTAATCTTTTTCAAGCTTTTTTAAAAAGAATTGAAGAGGGCCAGGCCCGGTGGCTCGCGCGGGTAATCCCAGCACTTTGGGAGGCCAAGGTGTGTGGATCACGAGATCAGAAGATCGAGACCATCCTGGCTAACACGGTAAAACCCCTTCTCTATTAAAAATACAAAAAATTAGCTGGGTGTGGTGGCGGGCGACTGTAGTCCCAGGTACTCGGGAAGCTGAGGCAGGAGAATGGCGTGAACCCAGGAGGCGGAGCTTGCAGTGAGCCAAGATCGCGCCACTGCACTCCAGCCTGGGTGACAGAGCGAGATTCTGTCTCAAAAAAAAAAAAAAAAAAGAATTGAAGAGAAGGGAACACATGTAAACTAATTTTATGAAGTCAACATTACCTTGATACCAAAACCAGACAAAGACACCACAAAAAAAGAAAGCCACAGGCCAAGGATACTACAAGAAAAGAAAATTACAAGCCAATACCCTTAATGAACATAAATGCAATAATTATCAACAAAATATTAGCAAACCAAATTTAACAGCACATTAAAGGATCATATGCCATGACCAAGTGGGATTTATCTCTGGGAAGTGAGGATGGCTTAACATATATGAAGCAAGAAATGTAATACATCACATTTACAGAATGTAGAACAAAAACTGTATATCATCATCTCAATAGATGCAGAAAAAGCATTAGACAAAATTCAATACCATTTCATGATAAAAATTCTCAACAAATTGGTATAGAAAGAAAGTACCTCAACATAATACCACCCACATATGACAAACCTACAGTTAATATCACACTCAGCAGTGAAAAGTTGAAAGCTTTTTATATTAGTCGGTTTTCACACTGCTGATGGAGACATACCCGAGACTGGGAAGAAAAAGTAATATAATTGGACTTACAGTTCCATATGGCTGGGGTGGCCTCGGAATCATGGCAGGAGGGAAAAAGCACTTCTTACACGGTGGTGGCAAGAGAAAATGGGGGAGAAGAAAAGCAGAAACCCCTGATAAACCCATCAGATCTTGTGAGACTTATTCACTATTACGAGAATAGCACTGGAAAAACCAACCCCATGATTAAATCACCCCCCACTCGGGGTTCCTCCAACAACATGTGGGAATTCTGGGAGATACAATTCAAGTTGAGATTTGGGGAGGAACACAGCCAAACCATATCATCTTCCTTCTAAGATCAGAAATAAGACAAGGATGCACATTCTCGCCACTTCTAGTTAACATAGTACTGGAAGTTCCAACCAGAACAATTTGCAAGAGAAAGAAAGAAACTGGAAAAAAAGAAGTGAAAACGTTTCTGTTTGCATATAACATGACCTTAGATATAGAAAACTCTAAAGACTCCACCAACAAAAATAAAACCTGTTAGAACTAATAAATGAACTCAGCTTCAGAAGTTTTGGGGCTGAGACAATGGGGTTTTCTAAATATACAATCATGTCATCTACAAACAGAGACAATTTGACTTTCTCACTTCCTATTTGAATACCCTTTATTTCTTTCTCTTGACTGATTGCCCTGGCCAGAACTTCCAATACCATGTTGAATAGGAGTGGTGAGAGAGGGCATCCTTGTCTTGTGCCGGTTTTCAAAGGGAATGCTTCCAGCTTTTGCCCATTCAGTATGATATTGGCTATGGGTTTGTCATAAATAACTCTTATTATTTTGAGATATATTCATTCTACATCTAGTTAATTGATAGTTTTTAGCGTGAAGGGATGTTGAATTTTTATCGAAGGGCTTTTCTGCATCTATTGAGATAATCGTGTGCTTTTTGTCATTGGTTCTGTTCTTGTGATGGATTACGTTTATTGATTTGCATATGTTGAGCTAGCCTTGCATCCCAGAGATGAAGCCAACTTGATCATGGTGGATAAGCTTTTTAATGTGCTGCTGGATTCAGTTTGCAAGTATTTTATTGAGGATTTTCACATCAAAGTTCATCAGAGATATTGGCCTGAAATTTTTTTTCTTGTTGTGTCTCTGCCAGATTTTGGAATACAAAGTCTCAGGATACAAAATCAATGTGCAAAAATCACAAGCATTCCTATACACCAATAATAGACATGCAGAGAGCCAAATCCTGAGTGAACTCCCATTCACAATTGCTACAAAGAAAATAAAACACCTAGGGATACAACTTACAAGGGATGTGAAGGACCTCTTCAAGGAGAACTACAAACCACTGCTCAAGGAAATAAGAGAGGACACAAACAAATGGAAAAAAAAAATCCATGCTCATGGATAGGAAGAATCAGTATCATGAAAATGGCCATATTGCCCAAAGTAATGTACAGATTCAATGCTATTCCCATCAAGCTACCATTGACTTTCTTCACAGAACTAAAAAGAAACTACTTTAAATTTCATATGGAACCCAAAAAGAGCTCATATATCCAAGACAACCCTAAGCAAAAAGAACAAAGCTGGAGGCATCATGCTACCTGACTTCAAACTATAATACAAACCTACAGTAACCAAAACTGCATGGTACTGGTTCCAAAACAGATATATAGACCAATGGAACAGAACAGAGGCCTCAGAAATAACACTACACATCTACAACCATCTGATCTTTGACAAACCTAACAAAAACAAGCAATGGGGAAAGGATTTCCTGTTTAATATCTGGTGCTGGAATAACTAGCTAGCCATATGTAGAAAATTGAAACTGGACCCCTTCCTTACACCTCATACAAAAATTAACTTAAGATGGATTAAAGACTTAAACATAAGACCTAAAACCATAAAAACCCTAGAAGAAAACCTAGGCAATACCATTCAGGACATAGGCATGGGCAAAGACTTCATGACTAAAACACCAAAAGCAATTGCTACAAAAGCCAAACGTGACAAATGGGATCTAATTAAACTAAAGAGCTTCTGCAGGACAAAAGAAACTAGCATCAGAGTGAACAGGAAACTTGCAGAATGGGAGAAAATTTTTGCAATCTATCCATCTGCCAATGGGCTAATATCCACAATCTACAAGGAACTTAAACAAATTACAAGAAAAAAACAAAGAACCCCATCAAAAAGTGAGTGAAGAATATGAACAGACACTTCTCAAAAGAAGACATTTATGTGGCCAAAACACGTCTGAAAAGAAGCTCATCATCACTGATCATTAGAGAAATGCAAATCAAAACCACAAGGAGATACCATCTCATGCCAGTTAGAATGGCGATCATTAAAAAGTCAGGAAACAACAGATGCTGGTGAAGGTGTGGGGAAATGGGAATGCTTTTACACTGTTGGTGGGAGTGTAAATTAGTTCAATCATTGTGGAAGACAATATGGGAATTCCTCAAAGATATAGAACCAGAAATACCATTTGACCCAGCAATCCCATTACTGTGTACATGCCCAAAGGATCAAAAATCATTCTACTATAAAGACACATGCACATGCATGTTTATTGCAGCACTATTTACAATAGCAAAGATGTGGAACCAACCCAAATGTCCATCAATGATAGACTGGATAAAGAAAATGTGGCACATATACACCATGGAATACCGTGCAGCCATAAAAAAGCATGAGTTCATATTCTTTGCAGGGACATAGATGAAGCTGGAAACCATCAGCCTTAACAAACTAACACAGGAACAGAAAACCAAACACTGCATGTTCTCATAAGTGGGAGGAGAACAATGAGAACACATGGACACAAGGAGGAGAACATCACACACTGGGGCCTGTCAGGGTGTGTGGGGAAAGGGGAGGGAGAGCATTAGGACAAATATCTAATGCATGCAAGGCTTAAAACCTAGATGACGGGTTGATAGGTGCAGCAAACCACCATGGCACACGTATACCTATGTAACAAACCTGCACATTCTGCACCCGTATCCCAGAACTGAAAGTAAAATAAAAATTTAAAAAAGTTGAAATAAATAAATTCAGTAAAGTTGCATGATACAAAATCAACACACAAAAATTAGTAGCTTTTCTGTACACTAACAATAATCTATCTGAAAAGGAAATCAAGGAAACTTTTTATTTATGACAGCATCAAATTAAGTGATTATTCCTAAGCACTGAAATACTTAGGAATAAGTTTAACCAAATAAGTGAAAACTGTACACTGAAAAATATTAAACATTGATGAAATAACTTGAAGAAGACACAAATAAATGGAAAGATATTCTGTGTTCATGGTTTAAAAAATTAACATTATTAAAGTGTTCATAATACCCAAAGTAATCTACAAATTTAATGCAATTCCTACAAAAACCCCCATGATATTTTTCACAGAAATTTATTTAAATCCTGAAGTTTTTATGGAACCACAGAAAAACCCAAATAGCCAAAGCAGTCTTGAACAAAATGAACAAAGCCAGAGGCATCACACTACCTGATTTAAAAATCCACTACAAAACTATAGTAATCAAAACAGTATGGTACCAACATAAAAACAGATACATAGACCAATGGAACAAAATAGAAAGCCCAGACATAAATCACACATAGATGGTCAACTTATCTTTGATAACAGTGTCAAGAACACACAATGAAGAAAACATAGTTTCTTCATCAAATGGTGTTGGGAAAAATGGATATACACATGCAAAAAAAAAAGTGAAATGGGACCCCATTACATCATACACAAAAATCAACTCAAAATGTATTAAATTCCTAAAAATAAGACCTGAAACTATAAAACTACTACTAGAAAAAAGAAACAGAGGAAAACCTCCATGACAGTGGTCTGAATAATGATTTTTTGTGTATGACCCCAAAGCATGAACAAAAAAAAAGCAAAAATAGACAAAAATCAAATTACCTCAAACTAAAAACCTTCAACAGAGAAAACAAAATTATCAACAGAGTGAATAGAACCTACGGAATGGGAAAAAATATTTGCAAACCATACATCTGATAAGGGTTTAATATCCAAAGGAATCTCTTACAGCTACATAGCAAAAAGAAACAAATAAACCAATTAAAATACAGGCAAAGGACTTGGACAGACATATCTCCATGGAAGATGTACAAATACCTACCGTGTGTATGAAAGGATGCTCAACATTGATAATCATCAGGAAAATGCAGATAAAAACCACAGTGAAATACTATCTCATACTGTTAAAATGGCTATAATGGGGAAAAAAACAGATACTTTCTTCAAGGATGTGGAGAAATTGGAGCCCTTATATACTGCTGGTGGGAAAGTAGAATGGTGCAACCGCTATGAAAAATAGTGTGAAGATTCCTCAAAAAATTAAAGAAAGAACTATATAATCCAGCCATCTCACTTCTGGGTATATATCCAAAACAAGTAAATCAGAATCTCAAAGAGATATCTGCATCTCCATGTTCACAGCAGCATTATCACAATAGTCCAGATAAGAAAATAATCCAAACATCCATCAGTAGATAAATGGATAAAAATTATGTTGTATATACATATAATAGAATATTATTCTACCTTTAAGAAGAGGAAAACCTACCATTTGTGACAACATGAATGAACCTAGAGGACACTATGCTGAGTGAAATAAGTAATCACAAAAGACACATATTGCATAATTCCATTTATATGAAGTAGGTAAAGTAGTCAAATTCCTAGGAGAGAGAATAGAATGGTGGTTGGCAAGGGTTGGGGAAGAAGGAATTGGAGAATTTTTGCTCAAAAGGTGCTATGGTCTGCATATTTATGTCTCAAAAACATCTTATATCAAAATACCCTCAAGGTAATGGTATTAGGAGGTGGGACCTTTGGGAGATGATGAGGTCTTGGAAGTGGAAACCTGGTAAATGAGATTAGTGCCCTTGTAGAAGAGGCCTAAGAGAGACTCCTCTCCCCTTTTCCCAGGCGAAGTTAGAGTGAGAAGATGGTTTTCTGTGAGAAAGTGGACCCTCACCAGACACCAAATCTGCCGGCACATTGATCTTGGACTTCCTAGCCTCCAGAACTGTGAGAAATAAACTCTTGTTTGTAAGCAACCCAGTATATGGTATATTGTTACATCAGCCAAACCAAACTGAGACAATGGCTATAGAGTTTCTGTTATGCAAGACAAATAAATATTAGATGTCTGTTGTACAACGTAGGACTTATAGTTAACAATATAATATTGTGCATTTAGATGACTGGTTGAGAGGGGCAGCAAACCACCATGGCACATGCATACCTATGCAAGAAACCTGAATATTCAGCACATGTAGCCCAGAACTTAAAGTAAAATTAGATATATATACATTTATATTTATATATGGTATATATATTTATATTTATATATAGTCTATATTTATATATTATATATTATATATTTATATATTATATTTATATTTATATATTTTATATATTTATATTTATATTTATATATTTTATATATATTTATATTTATATATTTTATATATATAGAGAGAGAGAGAGAGGATAAATCTCATGGTAAGTGTTCTTAAAACACATGCACAAAAAAAGCCCACAAAGAACATAGGGAAATTTTTAGAGGTGGTAAATTTGTTTCATATCTTGATTGTGGTGATGCTATTACAGTTGTATCCACATATACAAACCCCACAAAATGGAGGCATTGAATATGTGCTAATTTTGTATATAAATTATACCTCAATAAAGCTTTTAAAAACCCAAAAATAAAATAGAAAGGATGAAAGAGTGTAGAAGAAACAGACGCACTCAGAAATGCTGGTGACCTGATAGGGAGAGAAAGATGGAAATAAAGACCCTTCAAGAAATGTTGGTTCAGGCCAGGAGTGGTGGCTAACACCTGTAACTCAGCACTTTGGGAGGCAGAGGTGGGTGGATCACCTGAGGTCATGACTTCAAGACCAGGCTGGCCAACATGGCGAAACCCTGTTTTTTCTAAAAATACAAAAATTAGCCGGGAGTGGTGGTGCCAAACAGAGGCACAGAGAATCGCTTGAACCCAGGAGGCGGAGGTTGCAGTGAGCCTAGATCCCAACACTGCACTCAAGCCTGGGCAACAGAGTAAGACTGTCTCAAAAAAAAAATTGGTTTATTTAAAATATGATTTATTATGTATCTTAAAGGCATTTTGCGGTCTCTATTTGTTTTTGTTAAATTAACATTTCTCGGGCTATGTCTGATCAGGGATATTGTGTAGACCTGATGCTATTACTAAAAAGACAACAAATAATAGATATTGGTGAGGATGTGGAGAGAGGGAAACTCTTTTTTTTTTTTTTTTCTTTTGAGACGGAGTCTCTCTCGCTTTGTCACCCAGGCTGGAGTGCAGTGGCACAGTCTTGGCTCACTGTAATCTTTGCCTCACCCCTTCAAGCGATTCTCCTGCCTCAGCCTCCCAAGTAGCTGGGACTACAGGAGCCTGCCACCACGCCCGGCTAATTTTAGTATTTTTAGTGCAGATGGGGTTTCACCATATTTGCCAGGCTGATCTTGAACTCCCGACCTTGTGATCCGCCCACCTTGGCCTCCCAAAGTACTGGGATTATAGGCGTGAGCCACGGTGCCCAGCCGAGAGAAGGGAACTCTTATACACTGTTGGTGGGAATGTAAATTATGGAAACTATGGAAAAAAGTATGAAGATTTCTCAAAAAACTAGAAATAGAGCTACCATTTGATCCAGCAATCTCACTGCTATGTATTTACCCAAAATAAAAGAAATCAATTTATCAAAAAGATACCTATTTTTATATGTATATTGCAGCACTATTCACAATAACAAAGATAGGGAATCAACCTAAGTGCCCATCAACGAATGAACGGATAAAGAAAATGTGGTATATATATGTATATACACACAATATATATGCAATCCACAAAGTATTTTATAGCTAAAATATTACTAAATACTAGTATATTTATATTATTTTATATATAGTATGTAATATATAACTATAATATTAAATAAATTTATATATAATACATAATATATAACTATAATATTAAATATAATTTAATATTATACTTATAATATTAAATTATATTAAATATATTTAATTATATTAAATATAGTATATAACTCTATAATATTAAATATAATATACCATATATAATTTATACTATATGTAATATATATTATATATATAGTATTACTAGTATAAAATACTACTAGTACTAAAAGCCATAAAAAAGTGAAATCACGTCCTTTGTAGCAACATGGACAGAATTGGAGGTCATTATCTTGAGTGAAACAAGCCAGGCACAGAAAAATAAATATCACGTTCTGTCTTATAAATGAATGTGAAAAAGGAAGTATCCACATGGACATAGAGAGTGGAGTGATAGACAATGAAGACTCAGAATGGCGAGGTGGTGGGAGAGGGGAGAATGAGGAGAAATTGGAAAATGAGTACAATGTACATTGCTTGGGTGATGAATATCCTAAAAGCCCTAACTTGACCAACACAGTATATGCATGTAACAAAATTGCAAATGCGCTCCATATATTTGTACAAATAGAAAGGAAAAAAAATTAATACAGTGACATCTGAAAGCCTAACAGAGTTTATGGCATGAGATATGTGTTCAATAAATATTTCTCAAAGTAATGAATTTTTAAAAAAAATCCTTGTTAGAGAAACTCTGCCAAATGCATATATTTCTCAAAATTTGGCCAATTAATTTTAGAAAAAGAAGATCAGAAGGAAAGGTCGTGCATTATTTAACCTTCTTGAGCCTCTTTTCCTTATTTGCAGGGTTGCAAATAAAAGATAAGCAACATGATACGCTTATTTATTGGCACAAAGCATCCACTTAGTAATTGCCCATTAAAATCATAATTGTTACATTTGGTGGTCAAAATCTGTGTTTTGGCTCCCAAATGTTGGTGTAATGCTTGATTATTAATGAAGTTTGCACTATAATGAAACTGTTAAAGATCAAGTTTGATATTGGAATGTCACAAAGGAGACTAGAAAATTTCACTGTGTTATAGAACTTGAAGTTCTGTCCTTCAGCCCCTCATTGACAAATTCAACATTTTAATTTGATTCTAGACTTTCCTGTCAATATGGATTGCTGTATTTGGAGTTTACTTCATTCAAATATCATCTTAAAATTTCATGTAAAGTTGAACATTGAGAGATCATTGCTAGGATTTGCAAACTGTAACAAAAATAACTTATCTCACTCTACAAAATGCATACAAACTAGAATAGTCATGATCAGGCATCTTTCAAGAACAGAAACCATAGACCCTCCAGGTTTCTAAATCAAATTTCAGCTTTGGCACACTGGACAAGAAGTGCATACATGACTTAATTTGTAAAAATAATTTTGTTTTTTTGTATTTTGCATTTCAGGCTTTGGTAACATTCCAATATTACTCATTTGGAAAAAATGAAGTTTATATCACAACTTAAGCATGGTGCTAATGCAAATTTATACCAACACCAGAACTATATAAAGATCTTTTCATAATTGAACATGTACACATACATACTCCTGTTTGGTGAAATCTTTGGGAAAAGTTTATGGGAGGTGCCAAATCTATTTTCTCAAGAATCCAGTAACTATAGCTGGAATGAAGGGATTTAAAGGATGTATACATCCAAAAGAAAGAAAGCATGGAAAGGAGGGAGTAGTGATAAACTTTCAATTAAAAACAATAACAACAACAAAACAAAACAAAAAACATGGTAGCAGTTTTATTTTCAGAGATATGGTAGATAAGATATCCTGAAGCAATACTTTATACCTCAAAACACTCACAAAGACAGAGCAAAATATACCAAATATTCTTTTAAGTTTATAGCTGAACTCACAATTAAAACAAAAAAGTCCAGGAGCCAAAAAGACAAAGAGAAAACTAAAAATAAGGATTGGCCCTAGTGACCCTGAGCCGTTGTCAATCTCATAGGGATTTGAATTAAAGCAACCATACAGGGACATAAGATAAGGCCTTGGGCTAAATTTTTTTAAAAAGAGAGAGAACAAAGTAACACACATCAGTATGGGGTTCCTAAAGAGGTACTCCCTCTGTAAAGAGAAAAAAAATCCACCCCCTGGAAAAGGAAAATGAAAAGTACAATTGTATGTTTTATCCTGGGGTGCAGCTCCCATAGCCAGCAACTACCCTCATGTAAGTTTGGATTCTATTAACTTACTATACTTCTAACCAAGAAAATAATACAAAATGAGATGGCTTTAAAAAATTCAAATGTATCAATCACAATAAATGTCAATGTACTAAATAAACCTAAATAAATTTTAAGTTTTAGTATAAAAATAAAATCCAGCTACAAGAAAAACGCCTAGAAGATAGGGAAACTAAAATATTGGAAACAAAGGGATAAAAATATATACCACACAGTGATAAGTAAAATAAACCTGAAGTAGCTATATTCATATTAGGCAAAATATATTTTAAGTCAAGAAATAGAGTCACTAGCAAAGTGAGAAAGAAATTTGTCACTAGCAAGTGACAAATTCATCAAGGAACTATAACAATCTTAAATTGTTCTATGAAAGTTATAGCACAATTTCACAATATATTTTAAAAACTGATAATTACAAGGAGAAAAATCACAAATCCAGACTCAGTGGATGATTTAAACTTATTTCTATCAGAAATGATAGTTCAAGCAGACAAGAAATAATTAGAAATACAGACTATTAGAAGAATACAACTAACAACGTTGCATAGTGTACATATTTAAAATACCAAATTAGTAGATCAAATAAATCATAATGGAAATCAGAAAATATTTAGAACTGAAAGATAATGAAACAATTATATGTGGAAATCTGTGAGAGGCAGCTAATGAGAATATAATGCTAAATGCTTATATAGAAGGAAAGTGAAAATTATCTAAATATTGACTTAAGAGACTTTAAAAGGTATAATAAATAAGTCCAGGGAAAGTAGGCTAAGCAGAAAAGGTAAGGACAGACATTTATACAATAGAAACAAGAAGTACCATACATAACAACTACAAAGCCCTTTCTTTTGAAAAACAAATGGGCAAAATACTGGTAAAATTGATCATGGAAAAAAAACAGAAGTCACAAATCAAAAATACTAGTCACAATTCAGAAATGCAGAATACTAGTGGGCAAAAGAGGATATAGTAGAGATACAGCAGAAATTTAAGACAAAATAAAAGAATAACATGAAAATCTTTATTGTATTAAATTCAAAAACTTGGACGAAGTGAAAGTTTTTCTAGAAAAATAAGTATTAGCAAAAATGGCTCAAGAAGATGTAAACTAAGAATCTATGATAATTTTAGAAACTTGTATCAGTAATACAATTATATCAGCAATATACTGATACTGATTGAGTTATTTGTTCAAAATGCTTGCAGCATCTCTTTACCAATCCCACCTGGTAGCGGAGCCTCTGTTCCTTCTTATTGATGGTATGCTTGACTACATGACTTGCTCTGACCATTGGTATATGACCAGAAGTGATACATACCATGTCAGAGAAATAACTTTATTTCACCTTTCCTTGTTTTATTTTTCTCTTTTCACCTTTGACTTATACCACTTAAGTGTGTCCAGTGTTCAGAACTGAATAAAATTCTGATTTCCTGCCCGTGTCTATACTGAGATCCTCTTAGCCAAAGTGTCTTACATCTAAATCTTCCTTTGCTTAGAATAATTTATGTTTTCTTAATCCAGTCTATCATTGTTGGACATTTGGATTGGTTCCAAGTCTTTGCTATTGTGAATAATGCCGCAATAAACATACGTGTGCATGTGTCTTTATGGCAGCGTGATTTATAGTCCTTGGGGTATATACCCAGTAATGGGATGGCTGGGTCAAATGGTATTTCTAGTTCTAGATCCCTGAGGAATCGCCACACTGACTTCCACAATGGTTGAACTAGTTTACAGTCCCACAACAGTGTAAAAGTATTCCTATTTCTCCACATCCTCTCCAGCACCTGTTGTTTCCTGACTTTTTAATGATTGCCATTCTAACTGGTGTTAGATGGTATCTCATTGTGGTTTTGATTTGCATTTCTCTGATGGCCAGTGATGGTGAGCATTTTTTCGTGTGTTTTTTGGCTGCATAAATGTCTTCTTTTGAGAAGTGTCTGTTCATGTTCTTCGCCCACTTTTTGATGGGGTTGTTTGTTTTTTTCTTGTAAATTTGTTTGAGTTCATTGTAGATTCTGGATATTAGCCCTTTGTCAGATGAGTAGGTTGCGAAAATTTTCTCCCATTTTGTAGGTTGCCTGTTCACTCTGATGGTAGTTTCTTTTGCTGTGCAGAAGCTCAATGTGGCACATATACACCATGGAATACTATGCAGCCATAAAAAATGATGAGTTCATGTCCTTTGTAGGGACACGGATGAAACTGGAAATCATCATTCTCAGTAAACTATCGCAAGGACAAAAAACCAAACACCGTATGTTCTCACTCATAGGTGGGAATTGAACAATGAGAACACATGGACAAAGGAAGGGGAACATCACACTCTGGGGACTGTTGTGGGGTGGGGGTAGGGGGGAGGGATAGCATTAGGAGATATACCTAATGCTAAATGACGAGTTAATGGGTGCAGCACACCAGCATGGCACATGTATACATATGTAACTAACCTGCACATTGTGCACATGTACCCTAAAACTTAAAGTATAATAATAATGATAAAATAAAAAAATAATTCATGTTTTCCAGTTTCACCAGCAGCTACTGTCATAACCAATGCAGTCGTCACTGAATATTTCCACAGCGAAAAAAATATCTATGTATCAAAGAAAGACACTGACTCTCATGCAAATGCTTAAATATGTTTCTCCTTCTCTGCCATTCTCTACACTGATATTACCAGCTTAAATCCACTATTACTATGCTTCTCCTCTTACAATAGTTAATTCCTCAGCAATTCACAATATAGCTTTCTTCTCATCAGTTGGGCAGCTGTGTACCACACCCTGCCATTAATTTTTATAAGTTATGGGTGTTGGTTTTCCATTTGCTATTACACATGATTTTCTAATGCTGACACTGGTTTTCTCATGCTGATTTATTCTTCTTATTTGTTAAAAGCAGGACAAAAATCATTCAAGGAGAAAATAATAGAAGGCTGTAATTTCAGTTTGAGTCACAGACAAGTAAAAACTAAAGTTAGAAAGCAAAGGCACACACTCTATTTTTCCATGAAATTTATTTCCCAAGTCAAAGCCAGAGTCCAAATCACTAGGATTCTGCCCATCTTTAATGAAGGAGGAAAAAAGTTCCACAATGAAGACAGAACAGAGCTGAAAAGCATCTTATGGTCTTGAATAGAGAGAAACTTATGGTGGCAAACATCAACTGGTGCCAAGCATCTGTTATTGCTGTAAAAAGGCAAGTGAAGGCTGCTTCCAGGGTCTTAGCAAACCAGAGACCCCGGCTGCCTGGAGTTCATGAAGAACACTGTTCAGGGGTCTCTGGAATTGTCTTTATGCCAGTACCATGCCACTAACACATGGACTGCTTACGCAGCTTTTACTGTAATTAACTCTTCGGTGAACAATTTATCTGGTCAGAAATGGAAAAACTACATTTTTAACAATCTTATGAGTATATATTCTTGGACTTGAAAAGTAGAAATCCCTTAAACTGAAGATTCCACATATTTTAAACAAAACTAATTTCTGGAATGGCCTTCTACTGCAAGGAAGCCATGAAACCTATATCGTTCCATCACCTTTGTAAAAATGTCCTTCATAGCTTTATTCTGTAAACATGAGTGTCCATTTCCTGTTCCACTGGTGACAGATTCCACTATCTCTCCCCCATTCTAAGTGGAACTATACAGTTTGATCCATGGGGCTCCTCACCCTCATCTTACCCTCACCAAGGGATGGCTACAGTAAGAAAATTAAGTCAACCAAGCGCTTTACCTCTGGAATCTAAATTGGGAGCCAAGTCACCTGTAAGGTAGTATCACAGAGGGACAATTTATCAATTCCTGACTTTGAAAATCACTGCAGCTACTTACTTCCTCAGCCTGGTTACTCAATTTACCTTTGATTCTATGAGACATCATGCATCTTTCCAAGAAATTCACCCTGCCTCACTCTCAACTTCATCATAACTTTTCTTAATTAGCCAGAGTTATTTTTAGTTCTTGCAACCAAATCAATTGATACAGAGACTTTGTCAAAGGTTGAGAAGAAAAAACCTCACTTGTTCACCTAAGACCATGCTGTATGCAGCACAAGGCTGGTTTTATAAGCAGGCAGAGCAGGTGGCGAGCTATGAAATGTAAATGACACACACACACAGCCAAAAATTCTGCTCTTTAACTAGGTAACTCTACCTGAAATGCTCCCAATTTAGAATTAAGGGTGGTCCTCTTAAAATGAGCCTGTGACTTCATGGTTCTATGTCAAATTGATTGCTTACTCTAATATCTAACAAAGATAGACTTTGCTGGATAAAAACATGAGGAGACAGGAAGGTGGGACACAATGGAGGGGGCACTGAAGTGGGCAGTCTGGGACACTGATAGGTGGCATGAAGATGCCTGTTAGAAAGAGGAGTCCCAATCTGTGTCCCTGTGGCTGGTGGTGACCTCCACCCTGCCTTAGGATCCCATCAGATGCTGCTGAAGTGCTGGCAGCCCCTAGTGATGGGGCCTCCTGTCTCCAGTCCCACCACTCCTCCTTCTCAAATTCAAATCCACCTGTTCTACAGATGTCCATGATCTATTTTGAATATAACTCTTTAGTTATTACTCACCTGCTTTATCAACCTTCACCACCTCGATTGCAGGATTTAAAAAAAAAAAAATTCCTCAGCATGGCTTAGAAGGCCTTTCATTAGCCTACTTTTCAACCAGTTTCTTGCTGCTGTCCCAGGCTTCCTTTCCATCCAAGCTACACACCTAAACTAGCCACTTGTCTTTTCCCACTCATGTTTCACTTGCCCTGCCTTTGTACATGGTTTCCCTCCATCCAGAATGCCCTTTTCTTACACCTCACTGGACTCACACAATTCCCAATATAAGCTCAGTATCAACATTGCCAAGAAGACTCCCAGGATTCCTTGGTTAGGACGAGGAATCTTTTTTCCCCTCCTTAGTTGGACAAAGTACCAGCAATACTCCCCATATTCCCTAGTTAGGACATGTCGAAAAGTAGGATGATGAAAGGCCTTCTAAGCCACGCTGAGGAATTTTTTTATCCTGCAGTTGAGGTAATGAAGCATTGATAAAGCAGGTGAGTGATGACCAAATCTGTACTCAAAATAGATCCTGGGCCTCTGTAGAAAAGGTGCTCATAATATCCTGAAAATTTCATTTTAACTAAAATACAGCATACTTCAATTGTCTATGTATAACTCTACACTAACAGTGTCTTCAGGGCTGGGACTGTGTGATTTATCTCTGTATCCCCAGCACCGAGAATATAATGGGCTTTCAATAAATGTTATTAAGTAAAACTCAGTGTTCAAAACTGAGTTTAATTTTTTTAGTAAAATTCTTCTCATTCTTTATAAATATATCATCATAATAAACATATAATCATAAATATATCATTATCTTTATAAATATATCATTATCTTTATAAATATATAAACCAATCTGAAAACTGAATCATATTTGACTCTTCTCTGTTGCTCTCTACCCTTAAGCTTTCCACAAGGTCAGTGGGCCAAACACCCTAACCAAAGAATAATGAATGTTTACATCCCATAAGAGAAAACGCTTCACTTCTTCACCTTTTCCACACGTGTTTACCATGAGTCTGCATTACCCACAGCATTGCCTTTGTCATTGCAGTTTTCTGATTTGAACTTTGGTTTATTAAAAATAGTAGTAAGTTATTATGGTGTCCGTTTGCTAAGGGAACCATGAAATCCTGGGTTTAGTGATAAAAGCGTTAAATGGCACCACATACCTCAAAGATGGGAACATCCGCTGCAATAAAATTATCACCTCAGCCTAGGAAGAAAGGGCAAGGCCTAAATTGGAGCTGGTGGGGATTACGGGGTCGGGGGAGGCTGGAGCAGCTGGTTGCATTCTACCTCAAGCACATAGTATTCAGAGTTTAAGATTAGCATGTCAGAGACCTTCTTTAAAACCACAAGCTCCTTTCACTCTTTTCAACAGCTGAGGCTTCCAGCTGAGAGACAGAATATTTGCCTATCTTAGAATATTTCCCTGCTCAGTGATTGATATGCTCTCCATGGCTGTTGGGATATGGGGAAAAATGACTACTCTTACACTGCTAGAAGAAATGTGAATTGCTACAGTCTTCTTGGACAGCAATCTCGCAATTCCTTTTAAAATTAGAAATACACATACCCTTTGACCTAGCAATCCGACTCCAAGGAATCCATCCCACAGAAATAAACGCACAAGTATGTAGGGAAATAACAGTGCTGATATTCAGTGAGCACACACCCGTACAATGTACTGCCCAGCATCTGTTCTGATTGGTCTGTACCTGTGCCATACCGGTTGTTAAATATTTTTAATGCCACCTCTGGATATATAAATAAATTTTACATAAGTGAGATTTTTTTATTATGAACACTTTTTCCCTTATGAACTGTGTGTGCACACATGCCCTGCTTCCTTCCAGACTTCTGCATCCCCATTCCTCCAAGTAATCGGTGTTCTATAGTTTCGAGCTCATATAATTTACATATTAATATCCAAATTTACGTACATACAGTTTTTGGAGACTCATTGTTCATAAAAAAAGCAGATCATATTAGAAACATTCCTCTACAACTTGCTTTTCTCTGTACATTTAGAAATCCTTCCAATTTTAAACTCTAGCTCATTCTTTTTAAGTTCCACAGAGTACTTATTGTCTGGATATACCACAATATAATCCACCATTCTGAGATTGACAAGCATTTGCTCTATTTTTCCCCCTTTCACCAAAAGTGCTGCAGTATACATCCTTGTGTTGCTAATCTGACAAGGAAGATGTTCCTACTACTACTAAGACTGAGCATATCTTCATATTTTTATCAGTCCTTTAAATTTTCATTTCCCTGAATTGCATTGCTCCTCTTTCTCTTGGGTTTTTGTCTTTCTAATATCAAGATGAAATAATTCTTTGCATAATTATTGTTTCTTTTTCATGTGCCCTGCAGATTTTCAAATTCATCAGTGCAATGTTATTAGTATATCATAATGGTTAAGAGTAATTGCACTGCTGAGCGAATTGGACAGACAAGTCACTTAGCTTATGTGTGCCTTAGTTTCATCACTTGCAAAATGGAAATGATAATAGACCTATTTCAAAGGTTTTCGTAGGATTCAAATTATTAAGAACTGTACCTCACAAATTGTAAGCACTTAACTATGTGTTACTATGCTTATTTTATTATTAGTCCTTGGGCTGTATCAAAACTCTCTCTGTACATGGTCAAGTTTTGTAAATATTCTATGAGAATGCATAAAATGGGTGCTGAGTGTTGCTGAGAGTTTATATATATATATATATATATATATATATATATATATATATATAAAACTAATTACTCAAACTTATTTGCCTTGTTCAGAGCTTTTGTATCTGCAATTTTTTTCCTATCTTATTACAGAGGATTGTGTCAAAAATCTACAACTACCATAGTTCGTTCATCTATTTCTCCCTACAATGGTTGCATTATATATTCTGATGTTATAGTGTTAGGTACAAATATTCACAATTGTTAGTTTATCTTGCTTTATTGTTCTTTTTATTTAAATATAATTTTTTCATCTTTTGTAATTTTTTGCCTGAATTCTATTTTATCACATATTAAGATGGTTAATATCTCATCTTCTTTTGGCTAACATTCCTCTGTTATTTCTTGTATTTTTTTTCTAGTTTCTATATCCCTTACATTGTATCTTTTGGACAATGTATTGTTGAATGATTTTTTTTTAAATTTTTCTATCCAAACTAAGACTGTCCTTTAAATGTTGAGTTTAGCTCTCTAAATATATTACATTCATTGTGGTTATTATTATATTACTACTATCAGTTCACATGTTCTTTTGGCCAGACTTTTATTTTCTTTTTCCTCTTTATTGGCTTCTAATAAAGAGGAAAGAAAAGTTGTTATTTTTTTCTCCAATGCTTTAAACTTTATGTTCTCTTTATGTTTTTACAGAGATTGTCCTCCACCCTAGACTCATACTTAAAGTTTCTCAAACTTATCACTCTCTATATATCTTCCTTTCAATTACAGAAGAACCCTGACATACTCTCATATTTTTGTGGTCTTTTCTCTCCCTTTCCCACAAGGTTGGTATTGTCTAGAATTTTAATTCCAGGTCACATTACAAATATCCAAGTTTGAGCCTTAATGCTTCCATTTCCCCTGGATACCAGCTGGAGATTATGGCATGCCAGCTGAGACCAGGCAACAAGGGTGCCTGCCGGGTGGCACAATAATAGGATGAAAAGAAGTAAAGTAAGTTCCTGATATGAATAGTATGTATAATGTGTATTTGCAAACACGTATGTGTGTATGTATATGCATAACGGATTATGTATGATGTGCATAATATATAGAACCAGAAGTTTTCAAAGTATGTTATTTGAACTCCTGGGGATTTCTAAAAGCCTTTCTAAGGGAACACAGGGGCAAAACTTTTGTATAATAGTACTAAAACATAATCTGCCTTCTTCCTTGTGTTAACATTTGTGCTGTTGTGCAAAAGAAATGGTGGGAAAATTTGTTTAGCCATCATTATATTCTTTACTGCCACACACTTGCAGTAAAACAAAAAGTGCCTGTTTTCTCTAAGATGTCTTGATTGAAACAGCAAAAATAATTAATTTTATTTATACTCAACCCTTGCGCACATATTTTTAATATTCTGTGTGATGAAATGCAAAATGTAAAAAAGTACTTCTAGTGTGTAGGAAAGTAAAATAGGTAAAATGGAACTCAACCTATGGCTATTTAGACTTGAGTGTTTTGCAAATCATTTCTCATAAATGAGCAAAGTCACTGTAAGTTCAAGAAAAATAATTGACAATAGTTCTTGCCAAAGATAAAATCCAACTCTTAAACAAAATTAGAAATTTGAAAAGATAACTCCAGCTTGACCCTTTTCTAAACACTTAAAGGCTTTTCTCATCAAATTATTGATAATGTTAATGAATCTAGTTTTTTGATAATGTAAAATGCCATTTGTCAACATTTGGAAGATCCCCAAACTCAGTGAACCAATATTTTACAAATTACCAATGCATGATATTACAAAATCAAACATGAGTTTTCAAAGTGCATAAGAGATCAATTGATTTTAATGTAACTGAGTATGAAAGGTTCATTGATATAGTTTTAGATTCCATATTGCAGCTAGCATTTAAGAACACACCACTTTTCAAATTTTGATGTATTAAAGAATAATATTTCCAGTTATCTAGAATGACTCTTAAAATACTTTTTTCCTTTCCAGATACATATGAAGCTATAGGCATGAGGCTGGATTTTCTTCACATACTTCAACTAAAGCAAAATATCGCAGATCGAATGCCGGAGAAGAATATGAGAATATATTTTGCTTCTACTAGACATTAAAAAGATTTACAAAGATGAAAACGCCATGAGATATCATCTAACCCCAGTAAATATGGCTATTATCAAAAAGGCAAAAAATAACAAATGCTGATGAGAATGTGGAAAAAAAGGAAATGCTAATACACTGTTGGTGGGAATGTAAATTGGTATAGCCACTATGGAAAACAGTATGAAGTTTCCTGAAAAAATTAAAAATAGAAATTACTATATGATTTGGGTATATATGCAAAAGAAAGGAAATAAGTATAACAAAGAGATATATGCACTCTCATGTTAATTGCAGCACTATTCATAATAGGCAAGATGTGAAATCAACCTAAGTGTCCACTAATTAATAAATGGATAAAGAAAATAAGATATATATACACAATGGAATATTAGCCATAAAAAAGAATGAAATTCTGTCATTTGCAACAACGTAAGTGAAACTAGAATACATTCTGTTAAGTGAATAAGTTACGCATAGAAAGATAAATATGGCATATTCTCACTCATATATGGGAGCTAAAAAAGTTGATCTCATAGAAGTAAAGAGTAGAATAATGGTTGCTAGAGTCTGGGCTGAATGGGAAGGGAATGGGGGAATGAAGAAAGCTTGGTTATTGGCTCCAAAAATATAGATAGAAGGAGTAAGTTATAATGTTTGATGTTTGATAGGACAATAGTTAGCGATAATTTATTGTATATTTCAAAGTAAGTAGAAGAGCATATTTGTAATGTTCCCAACACAAAGAAATGATAAATGTTTGAGGTTACTGATTTTGATCATTGCACACTTTATGCATATATCAAAATATTACATATACCCTATAAATATGTACAATTATGTATCCATTAAAAATATTTACAAAAAAAATTTGCAAAAGTGTAAAATGCTGTCATTCTACTGTTTTCCAGTTATTGAAAACAGTTATTTTTCATAAAATATATTTTAACATGTAATAAGTTTATTGTCATTTTAAATAAATTAATATTTTAAATTCTCAGTTTTAATTACTAATATAATAAGTTATAGATATATTATAACCTACATGTTCTAATATATTTCCATATATAATCAGTGTGTTATAACCCATATTCACAAAAGCTATTTGGTGACATAATTAAGAATGTAAAGAGGTCTGGAGACCAAAACAATTGAGAATCCCTGATATGTATAGAAATATTCTCAAATCATTGGATACAACAGTATACACATATCTATTAAATCGACATTGCATGTGAGTGTGTGTAATTGTGTAATCATGATGTAATTCAAGTCTTCTATGTCTTTAGTAATTTTTGAAAACTAGATTCAACTAGATTCAGGAGTTCTGAAAGAGAATAACAATATATTCCAACAGCCCACTAGTCCTTAAAGAAACAGGGTCTACCCTGTTCCCATCAGAAAAGAAAAAAAACACTACCATCAGTTGATCTGAACAGGTGTCACAGAGGCTGTGAAGGCTGAGTCATTTTTATTCAGTGTTCCATAATTGGCTTTTAACCTAGTTTTAAAAGTGCCATCTTCTGACAACTGCTCACATGTTGGCTCTTTCACAGCCTGTCCCTTCCCATGTGTAACATTCATTGCCTCTCTAGATCTATCGACAGAGACAAACCTCTTGGATGCCATTGTACATTAACAAACAGCAATTTAGCCAGTTCAACATATCACCTTTACTTTTCTACAAGGTTATAATTCTTCATTTTCAACTCTTAAAGCTACATAGCTATGTAGTAATTTGAACAGTATTCTCAAAAGAGCTAAAAAATGTAACCTTAGAACCATAGACTTTGTCATCACATACTAACAATACCTAAGAGGTCATCAAATCCTATCACTTTACATTATAGATGAAATCATGAGACCCAGAGAAGGGGCTGAGGCAGAACTTTTTCATATTCTACTCAAAGGATTAATTTTCCTTAGTGGCTAACAGTTTGCCCTAGGTCCTTTGGAGAATTGCCCTTCAGCCCCAGAGCCCTTGCCTTTTATAGAGAGCTTGAGGATCTTGATTGCTTAGGTTCCTCTCCAGCCCCTACCCAGCCCATCACAGCGAAGAACTGACTGAGGTAAGGCTATAAAAATCAGGAACATTACCTCCAGGAAAATTCTTAGTTGAGCTTTAATCTCTAAATTTCTAGGGATCAGGCTGAGGCGGAGACTTCTGAAACTGCACCCCCATTTGGCTTCTGCCCTTTTCCTATCCCGCTCCCCCAATTCCTCTCTAACCTTATCCATAAGCGCTACCATAATAGGTCACTGGTACCTGAATACATGCCTAGGAGTTTGCTTCTGAGGAACTCACCTGGGAGAGGAGTGGATATGCCCATAATTACATTTACACCCAACAGAACCAGGCCAGTTTATGTCTTCTACCTCCTACCTCAGTACATTTCTCACCTCTCCACAGATTCCTTAAAGTTAAGCTATAAAAAGTAATTCTCAGGTCTTCCAGAGTATATTACCCCAAACTCCCTACTTTGATATTTTGCAGAGTTGCTTCTAATCAGGTCAGTTGATGTTCTGCCATTGGCTTCTCTGAGGGACACAAAAAGGAATCTTATAATATTTGCTACTGTTTTTGTGGTAACTAGGTGACCAAAAACAATGTCCACCACACTATCCAGTATCCCCTTTGTAAAGATCCATGTGTTAAATTTTTCTTAGACTTCAGGGTCAAAAACTTCTTTGCTTCTCTTAAGAAATTCAGTGGTCTATTTATTAAATGGCCAGGAAGAATCTTGTAATTCATATATTCTGCTATTATTTTGTAAATAGGAAGCTCAGAGACAAATTTTCAGTCCACACCCTCTAACCATTTTAAACATTGTGGCATATCTGTTACTGACTTTTCCTCTGCCCTCCATGTGGAAGCATATGGAATGCTTCCATATTGTTTGTGTAGGCTTCAAAATATTTATTTATTTTCCATCTGATGATATTTAGTTTTTTTAGCTCCCTGAAAACCAGGTGAAACAAAATGTTAAAGAAACTTAAAAGATAACAGCAGTTCATCCTGTGGCTAGAACACAAAGTACTTTTACTTAAGGAAAATTGTTCTGCAAATACTAGTTTAAAAGTGTTATATATTGTGTCTTTCGCGCAATTTAGTAAGTTTTTGACAAAGCTTCTGCTGATTATTTTTAAATAATTCATGTATACAATAATTCAGTATACAAATATTATCTATATAGGATTATGTGTGAGGTGGCTCATCAGAGAGACTTTCTGTGTTTAAATCATTGCAATATAATTTTCCCATTGATTTGAGAGAAAAGATGGGAAAGGCATTAAAAAATGCATTTAGTAAAATAATAGATAAAAAATCCCTAAGTCTTGGGAGAGATAAATATGGACATTCGAATTCTGAAAGTTTAAAAGTCCCCAACCTGTAAAAGTCCTCTCAGCAGGGCGCGGTGGCTCACGCCTGTAATCCCAGCGATTTGGGAGGCTGAGTCAGGCGGATCACGAGGTCAGGAGATCGAGACCATCCTGGCTAACACAGTGAAACCCTAACTTTATTAAAAATACAAAAAAATTAGACAGGCATGGTGGCGGGTGCCTGCAGTCCCAGCTACTCAGGAGGCTGAGACATGAGAATGGCATGAACCCAGGAGGTGGAGCTTGTAGTGAGCCAAGATGATGCCACTGTACTCCGGCCTGGGCAACAGAGCGAGACTCCGTCTCAGAAAACAAAAAAGAAAGAAAGAAAGAAAAAAGAAAAAAAAAAAGTCCTCTCTGAGGCACATTATAGTCAAACTGTCAAAAATCAAAGACAAATAGAGAATTCTAAAGACAGCAAGAGAAATGCAACAAGCCACATATAAGTTTATCCTCATCAACCTAACAGCAGATTTCTCAACAGAAACCTTAAAGGCCAGAAAAGAATAAGATGATATATTCAAAGCACTAGAAGAAAAAAAAAAATCTGTCAGCCAAGAACAGTTTACCCAGTAAAGCCATCCTTCAAAAATAAAGAAGAAATAAAGTCTCCCAGACAAGCAAAAACAGAAAATTCAACATCACTAGGCTGGCCTTAGAAAAATGTTTAAGACAGTATTATATGTAGATGCAACAGAACAATAACTACCATCATGGTGGCACATAAAAATAAAAAACTCACTGATAGAGCAGATACACATATGAGGAAGATGAAAGAGTCAAACTTGTCATTACAGAAAACCACCAAACCACAAAAATAAACAGTAAGAGAGGAACAAAAGATAAACAAAACAATTATCAAAATGACAAGAATAAGTCTTCACCTATCAGTCATAACCTTGAATGTAAATGGCTTAAATTCCTTAATTAAAAGATATAGCCTGGGTGAATGGATTAGAAAAAATAAAAATAAAAAAGACCAAACTATATGCTGTCTGTAAGAAGCACACTTCACCTGAAAAGATACAAATAGACTGAAAGTGAAGGAATTGAAAAAGATATTCCATGCAAACAAAAACCAAAAAGCAGAAGTAGCTGCACTTATATCAGGTAAAATAGATTTCAAGTCAAAACTACAAAAAGAGACCAAGAAGATTATTATAAAATGACAAAGGGATCAATTCAGCAAGAGAATATAGCAATCATAAATATGCATGCGCCCAAACTGGAACACCCAAATCTATGAAGCAAATATTATTAGATCTGAAGAGAAAAATAGATCCCCACAATTTAATAATGGTTGGAGACTTCAACATCCCATTCTTACATTTGACAGATCATCTAGACAGAAAATCAACAACAAAAATCTGACATAAACTGCACTACAGATCACATGAACCTAATAGACATTTATAGAACTTTTCATCCAACTGCTACAGAATACACATTCTTCTCATCAGCACATGAAACCTTCTCCAGGATAGACCATATGTTAGGCCACAAAACTAGCCTAACAAATGTTTAAAAATCAAAATTATAACAAATTTATTTTCAGACCACAATGAAGTAAAACTAGAAATCAATAGCAGGGGCAATTTTGGAAACTGTACAAATACATAAAAATTAAACAACACACTCCTGAATGACCAATGGGTTATAAAGAAATTTAAAAGGAAGTTTAAAAATTCTCTGAAACAAATGAAATAGAAACACAACGTACCAAAACCTGTGGATACAGCAAAAGCAGTATCTAAGTAGTACTAAGAGGAAAGTCCATAGAAATAAATGCCTGCATCAAAACAGAAAAATTTCAAATAAACAACCTAACAATATACCTCAAGGAACTAGAAAAGCAAGAGCAAACCAAACCCAAAATTAGTACAAAGAAAGAAATAATAAAGATCAGAGGAGAAATACTACACGAAATAGAGACTAGAAAAAATACAAAAGATCGGTGAAATAGAAAGTTGGTTTTCTGAAAAGATAACCATTAGCTAGACTAAGAAAAAAACAGAGAAAACCCAAATAAATATAATTTATCCATGCTTTTTTAAAAGAGTGTTTCCTGTGTCATTAATGTGTATACATTTTCAATTTGTATCTATTTACTGCAATTTGTACTCATTAGGCAAAAATTCCTAGTAAATATTCCCAACATTTCTATAATACTGGTCATAACAAGTAAAAATACTTTCATCCTCAACCATTAAGGTATTAGCCCTTTCTTTAGAGAAACACAGCTAATTGTAATTCAATTGCCAGGGGCGTTTATTCAAAGGTAAAAGAACACTTATGGAAATCATTGACTATTACTTCATACTAAGAGGTACCCCAGATAATAGTAATAATGCATACGTATTTGGCACTTACTATTATACACTGTTGTATTCTAGGCACTTTACACATGTTAACCCATCTAATTTTCACAATGACAATATGAGGTATTATTATGACCATACACATGCAGAAACTGGGGTTCAAATAGACTAAATAATTTGCCCCATATTTTTTATTCTTTCATGGGAAGAGCGTATGAGGCAAGAAGTAAAATCACAGAAAACTTAAACTGGTTTTGGTCATGGTCATACAAGAAAATATGAGAATTACCACCATGTAATTCATGGTTTCTGGTCCAAATTAGGACCTCTGTTCTCACTTTATAGCTTTATAAAGTTAAGAGTGCCTTCATACGTCTTCTGTGGTTTTCCCTGAGGGACCCCATAGAAAGAAGACAGTGGACAAAAGCAGGATTCACAGTTTCTAAGTCCCTCAGCCAAATGTTAATTGAATAAATTAGATTTCCAAAGTGTTTACACAAAACAGGAACAAAAAATGATGGGCAAGACTGAGCGCGGTGGCTCACGCCTGTAATCCTAGCACTTTGGGAGGCCGAGGCTAGTGAATCACAAGGTCAGGAGTTCAAGACCAGCCTGGCCGATATGGTGAAACCCCATCTCTACTAAAAACACACAAAAAGTTAGCTGGGCGTGGTGGCAGGCGCCTGTAGTCCCAGCTACTCGGGAGGCTGAGGCAGGAGAATTGCTTGAACCTGGGAGGCAGAGGTTGCAGTGAGCCAAGATTGCGCCACTGCACTCCAGCCTGGGTGACAGAGCAAGACTCAGTCTCCAAAAAAAAAAAAAAAAAAGATGGGCAATGACCACCAATAGTAAATACTACAATGATAGGTGAGAATTATTTAGTTAAACGGCATCATCAACAAAACACTTCATTAATACCTATCTATCTATGATCATGTTTTGGGAAAACTGCAAAGTGAACAGTCACAATTCTTGTCTTTTGAGAGTTTACAAACTAGGAAATGCATGAACATCAGTACTACATATGAAAATGAAGCAAGCAATGGATACAAACTGGAAATAACTAATATGCGTTATTTTTCTTTTATGTCTGCCCTTTGCTTCCAGTGGAATGAGGGAGGCATTTCCTTATAGTCACTCAGATAGAAATCAAGATGTTTATGGACATATTGTGTCAGCTCTAATACCTTGCTACATATCTGTTAAAATGTCTTCACTCTGAAATTTGTCCAGCAACAGTTGCATATGACCCCTTTGAATCTTACAGGTCACAAGAATTGAAGCATCTTGGTTTCCTCATATTCTCGGAGGGTGACACTGTGAGAGTCATACAAGCTACTTGTTTATGGCTCACAGAGGATCCTTGTGGAGTGTAACTTCAGGAGTTCTCTGGAAGCAAGGAAAGAAAAATGAGAACAGTACAGACAATGGGCAAGGTTAAAGCAGGATTAGAATGGTGAAGGGGTACTGAACAGATTTGCCTAAAATTAGCTGAGAGGATAGGAGAATAGGAGATTACAAAAAATTGGGGGCACTCCAGTATGACACCATGAAAGAAAGCATAAAGTATTAAAGTTTGATTCATGGTATAATGGCAAGTCAATGAGGAGCTCTAATCACTGGGCCATGGGCAGTGCCCTAAAAATAGTAGTCATGCTATAAATATGTCTTGTTATGAAGACAAAGTGATAATGATGATTTTAAAGACAAGCAAGGGAAATGGTGTGCTCTCTTGTCAAATAAAGAAGAAGCTTAGGCAACATACTCTTTGCCCTTTAATATGTTTGGAGTCCATTAAGGAAATAAATATTTAGCACAAAGAATTCTTTCAAAAAACACAAAGGGCTCAGTAATGGTCAGAACTGAAACTGGACAATAACAGAGCTGTAAGGGTGACAATTGTGTATGTATCACAATTCACCTTGAACATCACATATCTGAAAATAGCCCCTCCAGCCCTCATACTCTAAATGACCCCTGCTATACCCTCTAACTCTCGGCATCATCTCAGCCTGATTCTTCTCTCTGTACTCATATGTACTCAACCTCCCCTTCATGGCATGTTTCTCTCACAGCTCATCTGGGTTTCACTAATGTAAAATACTGATTATTTCCCTATGGATAAAGCTCCGGATGTTCTCAGGAAAAGAGCACAATAACGCCTGCTGCATACAGCATTATTAAAAACTGGGGGAAAAATGTGTACAGAAAAGATAAGATCAAGGTACTAGGTCTTTACCTGGCTGCTACTGCATGTGTTAAAACTTGAACTTTCAAGTAATGAATAACAAAAAATAGTAATCTTTCATCACAGCTGTGTAGTTTCAGAAATTTTTATAACTTCAGCATCTGTAAATACTTGGGAAAATGACAATAAGGAGGATGGCACATTAAATATCCAAAAGAAGATGTTCTGCTACCCTGGAGTTGTAGATTACAAAAAATTGAGGGTTATTCAAATTCTTACTAGACCACTGACTCAGAAGCTTAATGTATTAAAGAGCTTATGTGGAAGTCAGGAATAAGACTAAAGAAGAGAAGAAAAATTCAAGCTAAGAGTAAAGCCATTTGGCTTTTATCACATTCAGAGAATATAGAGAGCTGTGAATCATCAGAAGAAATAACTAGCCAATGATAGGATGATTGTAAGCAGATGTATCTGAAACTACTGGCAGGATTCAGAATTGTGTATTTTATCAAGTGGTAATTTATCTTGAAACAAATGTCAATCAATAAATTATGCCATTCCAAGACCAACAACTATTTCCATTATTTGCCAAAATATCATAGAACAGTTATTATTGAGACAACAACTCCCTCAAATAAACAAAATATTCAAGATATGAGTCATTCTGTTTAAAAAATCCTAACTGGTAAACTAAAAATTATTCAGAAAACTCCTGTTATTCTCATCTATATTTTTGTTTTCTTTTGTTTTGCATCGTGTTGAGACTGAGACTCGCTCTGTTACCCAGGGTGGAGTGCAGTAGCATAATCACTGCTTACTGCAGCCTTGGCCTCCTGGGCTCAAGCAATCCTCCCACCTCAGCCTCCTGAGTATCTGGAACCAAAGCTGCACACCACCATGCCCAGTTAAGTTTTTATTTTTTGTAGAGACAGAGTCTCCCTATGTTGCCCCAGCTGGTCTCTATATTTTTGGAAATAATTTCCTGCAGTTTTCCACACGGTGTGGTCAACATACTAGAGTTTTTCTGCTATTGGGAAATGTGTAGTGTCACAGACCTTTATTCTCACTGTCTAAGACTACAGGTGGAAGGGGTAAAGAAGTAGGCTGCCTGTGTCCTGGTCATATCATTCTCCAAAGTTTATGACACTACCCAATTCCAGAGGACACCATTCATACTAAAAACTTTGTTCTAGGGTGCCAGTCACGTTGTGAATGCAACCCCCCAAAATGACAATATTGCGTGAAACCTTACTGTTACTGTTCTCAACAAATGTCTGATGTTTGCTTCTTTTGTTGTTTCACTATTCATCCAAAAACAGAGAGCTGAGAGGTGGTCAACGGGGATGGATGTGATGAATCCAGTTGGTTTAAATCAGTGGTTCTCAAGCAGGGACCATTCAGCCCAGGAGATACTGGGTAATGTCTGGAGATATTTGGGATGTTCTAACTAAGGGAGTGCTAGTAACATCTAGTGACTAGAAGCCAGAGATGATGCTAAACTTCCTACCATGCACACAATAACCCCCTACAACAAATAACTATCCAGCCTAAAAAGTCAGCAATGCCAAAGTTGAGAAACTTTAGCTTGTAATTTGCTTATTCATTTCTGGTGGATTGTTTACATTAATAGGCAACCAAATGGTGTTTTTATTCACAAAAGAAGAGCTATTTTAACAGAAAGAAATTATCTTGAGAAATGGCAGAAAGGTAAGAGTGGAAAGGCAGGAAGGGAATTATTTTTGTTCCAATAATTGAATACCCACTGTATTCCAAGGACTATGCCTTGTATCTTGCTTACTATTATTACATTCAGTAATCCAGATAACCCTATGAGACAAGTGTTTTTCCTCCACTTTCATTATGAGCAGCCCCATCTCAATTAAATAATTAACGTATGCTTGAGGAACTAGGAATTATTATTTAATAATAATTAAATAATCAACATATGCTTGAGGAACTAGGAAGCAGCACAATAGAGAAATTGAACTCAAGAGATGAGGGTAAGAGATTTATTTAGGTCACAGGTGAAATCCTAAAGCAGTTCACCAAGTTAGAATCCGAAAGCACTGAAGACATGATCTATCACATTCAGTCTTCAGTGGGCTGGAGTGGGCTCTTTTGCCACGTGGGAGAAAGTTATTTTAATTTCTCAGTCCCAAGAGCAGCCACCTCCCCAAGTGCAGTGTGCTTCTAAGCCAGTTGCACACACATTCTTGAGTCCTGTCTTGATTTCTAACCTGTGGCCTGAGCCTATCATCTCAAGAAAACTGCTAGAGGGGAACGAAAAACATATTTGTTAATATGCATGACATTAGCCCTGACCATTCCACAATGAGACAAATACTGTCAGTGCCAAGCATCTGCGAAGCTATAAACACTAGGATGCCAGGATGTCTTTCTGTCTAATTAGGATGCTCTAATTTTTTTCAAATTTATGTCTTAAATGTGCCCACCGGTGTGATATTGGCTCTAACAGTGTTGTGGGATCATAGCTTACTATCACTTACTAGTTAGACTTGCAAAATAAGTCTAAATATCTGTTGTGCTGCTTTTTATGTTATTATTTCTCTAATTTGTAGCTGCCAAGAGGGAAAACTTTGCCATTAGTGAGAGTCTAGTCCAACATGCAGCAATGTGTGGTCCAGAGAAGGAAAAAACACACAAAATCTAAGTAGTAAAGTTTTTTCTATAAAATTACTATTATTCAAATGATTTTATTTTCTTTTTTGTTGCTTTTTATTTACTTTTATTTTAGATTTGTGGGTACATGTGCAGGTTTGTTACATGAGTAAATTGCATGTCACTGAGGCTTAGTGTATGAGTGATCCCATCACCAAGGTACTGAGCATAGTACCTGATAGGCAGCCTTGAACCCACACCCCCTTCCCACCTTCCCTGCTCAAGCAGTTCCTAGTGTCTATTGTTCCCATTTTTGTCTCCATGTGTGTTCAGTGTTTAGCTTCTGCTTATAAGTGATAACAGGTGGTGTTTGGTTCTCTATTCCTGTGTTAGTTTGCTTAGGATAATATTCAGATGACTTTAAAAGATTACACATGAGGTAGAAAGACTGACAGAAATACAACCTAGTCATGTACGTATTTTCTACTCTCAATTTCTTATATTAACTTTTAATGATAAGAGTCACCTTGTCCTCAACTTGTCTTATATTCCTGACATTGCTATTCACCAGATCTCTGGATTTCTTTGAGGTTTCTGGGATTCAGAGCATTTTATAAAAATTCAACATTTTAAGCCTCTGTCAAAACTTGTAATGTCTTGCTTTCTTTACTTCTTTAGATAGTACTTTATCTTTTCCTGTTCCTCAGGCTGTCCTTACCTCTCTGCATCTTGGAGTTCCCTTTACAGTCAGAAGAGCACACAGTTCTCACAATTGTTACTCCTCATACAGCTCCAACTGAGCACACAAGAAGTGTGAGGCATATGGACCAGCATTCATGTTTCAGCAGTGCTTCCTGGCTGCAGGTTTACCACTGTCCAGGAATCCTCTTGTTGCCATTCTTCTATGTGGCTCTTCACCTTTATCTATCATGTAGCTAGCCTACATTTACTTGGTCTTTTTTGTCTTTCTCTAAAATTATAATCAATTTTTTATTAGAGCACAAGAATTTTAAAACCTATTTAGAGCCTCAGCAATACTTCAGCATAACCTTCATATGAGAGCTCCTCTGATTTGGAAAATGCAGATGTAATGTATTAAAAATCTAAAGAAACAATCACCTGTGCATCAGTGAATATATACCAAATACATGAAAAAAATAAAAAAGAACTCTAGGGTTCACAGAGTCTAAAATGCAACACTTTTTTTCAGGAATCTGCTAAATGAAAGTGAAAAAGGTGGATTAAGGTAATTTAAGCAGTTGCAAGTTTCTTTTAAATTGAATCCATGGCAGTGGGATGTGGGGAGTAAATGAGTAGTAAATAGAGTTAATTTTACTTCTGAACAAGATAGGTGGCTGCCAACAGAAGTGTAATTTGAAGGACTCCAGAAATACATACCTATCTAAGAAACAAATATCCCTCTCTAACCTGCTAGAACACCTTTAATGCCATTATTAGAGGTTTTGTTTTTTTTTCAAAGCAAGTATTGTCATGAATAAGATGCCTATTAAAATGTAAATGCCTCTGGTAAATCAATGCACTAAGTGGTTTTTGAACATTAGTATATAAATGAGATGAGAGAGCAAGTTGTAACCCACGGGAATGGAATTGAAGAAATGAGATGTTTAGTAAATGTCAGTGGGGCTGGAAAGTCGAAGCATAACTGAAGGAAATCATGCTGCTACTGGGTAGTGTGGTTGCAATGGGGGGAGGGTCTAAGGGACCTGGGTAAGTAGGAAAAGATGTGAGAGAGGAGGAAGCAAGAAAGAGAAATAAGTTAAAACAGGGAGGTAAAACTCCTAATTCACAATTTTCGACAGAATTGAAAAGTATTCCTTTATAGCTTTCCCCCTCCGTCTGACATTGAGCCTCTGAGATCTTCTAAAACAAACACACTTTTTCTCCATCTCCTCTTAATACTCTGCTTAAACCTAGCTTATCACCATGCCTTACACATTGCAAGCACTCAATATTTGATTGATTCATATACACTCTCCTGTCAGTTTGCATATCCTGCAACTAACAGCACACCTCAAGGGGCTCTGAAAACTAAGAAAATGCTTGGTTGGGTGCGGTGGCTCACGCCTGTAATCCCAGAGCTCTGGGAGGCCAAGGAGGGTGGATCACGACATTAGCAGTTCAAGACCAGCCTGGCCAACCTGGTGAAACCCCGTTTCTACTAAAAATACAAAAAAATTAACCAGGCGTGTGGCCGCGGGTGCCTGTAATCCCAGCTACTCAGGAGGCTGAGGCAGAGAATTGATTGAATCCAGGAGGCGGAGGTTGCAGTGACCCGAGATCACGCCACTGCACTCCAGCCTGGGTGACAGAGCGAGACGCCATCTCAAAAAAAAAAAAGAAAAGAAAAGAAAAGAATGCACGTGTTAAGCGTAAAGGAGACGAATATATTCCTAGAGAAATACCATTAGGTGTGCAGCCACACAACTAGGTGCCTACAGTGAGACAGCATGCCATTGTTGGCATTCACACAGTTCATTAAAATAGAAGAGAGGCAAGTGCAATCTTACCTCTCCTGGGAATAAATATCAGAACTTCTCAGCATAGGGACCAAATCAGCATAGGTGTTTGTTGTTAGAAAAATAGGTTTAATAATCCTGTATCACAGATAAAGATACCAGCAAATAGAGAATTTCAGTATTCAAATGCACCTAAGTGAAACTAATCAATGAGCAATAAAGCTTAAACTCTTGAAATTTTCTACCCATTCCACAGCCCAGCCTTAAAGAAATGGGCCAAGAGTCATTAAATCCTAGCTGGTCACATATGGACGGCTCTGAAAGGAATGCTGGAGTCCTTACATATACCATAGCATTATGCTCTTTGGGAAGTTCTATACATTTTTCTTTAAAGGTACAAGTGAAACTGTAAGCTGCTGTTAGTGAAGAAAACCAGATTGCTCTGGGCACGGAGCCATACCAATCCAGGCCTAATGTGTGAACCAGAACTGAGCATGATAGGTAGCCTCTGAAGAGCAAGAAAGTTAGTTACACTAACGAGATGAAAAGCCTGTAGCTATTCTATGTGGGCAAATTACTCTGCCTGCTGAGTTGAAAAAGACTATAGGGGGTCCAGGGCAGAAGCATGGAGACCAGTTAGGGATAGCATTGCAATAATCTAGACAAGATATAATGATGGCTTAAACTAGGATAGTAGCAGCGGAAGTGTTAAAAATTCTGGATGGAGTCCAAAGGTAATGCTGAAAGAATCAGCTAATGGATTTAAAGTGAGGTAGAAATAGAGGAAACAAGGATGACAGCATTTTTGTCCCAGCCAATTGGATGAATAAAGGTGATATTTATTGGATGGAAATGCAAGGTTCGAGAAGAAAATCAGCTGAACTTGCCATATTTGAAATCACTTTTATCCAAGTGGGAATGTCAAGTAGAGAAATGGATTTATAACTCTAGATTTCTGCAGAGAGGTTCAAATGCAAGATGTAAATTTTGGAGTTATCAGTATATAGATGTTGTTTAAAATGAGACCAGAGGATATTACTTAGGAGGTGAATGGTTTAAAAAATGCAAGAAATTCAAGTTTCAACTCTGGGACACTTTAGGTGCAAATCTTGGCCATATTGATGGAGTTTGCTAAAGGATAGTTATGAGGAAACAGGATGGTTATGAGGAGACATTCTAGGACCATTAAACCATAAAGGACCGAGTGATCATTATGGGACATTACTATTTCCATGGATATAAAATCAGACAGATTAAGGGCTCTTCTACTAAATAAGGATTTTATTATTTACAATGTCTATGTGAAGAAAATTGAGTGAAAATCAAATAATTATTTAGTGAATAATTACTAGATATTACTAATTTGGCTAACTCTAGTCAAACTGCAATCCCCAATGCTGCAAATGTTTTTTAATCCTACCTTTCTTTAGGGGTAAAAAAAAGGTGTAGGGACCAAATTTGCTTAATTCTCCACTTCATTTTGCTTAGTATAGACTTAGAGTCCCCACAGACAAAATCAAAGTGTTGTCTGTTCATTATATGGTTAATTTGACTAGTTCAAGCCAAAAGACTTTTAACTAGGACACTTGATTTTGTCTTCAAGTTTGATCATATGAATCAGATAGAATTTTCCTATGGATGCAAATTCCTAGAAGTCATATATCTATTTTATGTGATTTGGGAGTTGGGAGTACACAGAATGTATGGCTTAGATGCATAGAAAAATATTAATTTCTTTAAAATTATGTTTGGGTGGATGGATGAAGGAAGGGAGGATGGTAGAAATAAAAATACATTGCACAAACCTTCTCTAATGATTGGTATGTGGTAAGACTAATAAAGCTGAGATAATTTCTATGACCTCATCTAAATGAAAAAAACTGAACTTTCGGGAGCACATACCTAGATGTGGCTCATCTGCATCAATATACTTGTTAGCAAGCCCATAACATTTACGTGAGAGAAATATTCAGCAATCACCTCTTTGATTATATCAATACCTTAATTAAAAACCCAATTGAGAGTGACATCAGCAAGACGAAATCATGGTAAGCCCTGGACTCTCCTTCACTCCACAGATACACCTATTCAACACCAATGTATGGATCAATTCCTTTTGTGAGAAGTCCAGCTGAGAGGCTCCTGCATCCCTGACAAATGCAAAACCAGCCACGTCAAAACTTGTAAGAAAATTGGAGACACCTTGTCACCATAATACCCACCCTTGGCACAGAGCCATATGATAAGGAAAAAGATATCCAGCTCCCAACTTCTCACTGAGGAAAGAAAGGGTTGGACCATAAATCCAGCATCTCACCTTTTCTAGGTATTTCCCCAGGGACTGGTTTTTGTCTTGCCTGGTTTTGTGCACTGGCACATTGTAAATGCCTAGGGCCATTGAGTATAAAAAAGGTGGTTTCAACTAGCATATAAGCACTTACCACAGGCTCTACCCCTAGCCCAGCACAGAGTAAGTAGGCAAAAAACCTCCAGTTCCCATATTCTCTCTGGGGAGAGAAAGAGTTGGACCACACATCTAACATTCCAACTCCTCTGGGTAATACCTGAAGAATTGGTTTCCATCTCACCTGTCATGTGCTGACAGGAGCCAGCATAATCTAGACACCTGGAGGCTGCTAAGAACAATTTGGAGTCACACAAACAGAAACTCTGGCCAGCTTGACTGGTGAAAGCCTTCTGTATGAGGTCAGTACATGAAGACTGGGAGAAATGGTTGTTTTTTCTAATGCATAGATACCAACACAAAGAGTCAAGACAAGTGAAATATTCAAGAAACATAAACCACACAAAAAACAAGATAAACTGCAAATATTGATTCTAATGAAACAGAGATAAATGCATTACCTGAAAGATAATTTAAAATAAGTATTGTACAAATACTCAATAAGCTCAGGAGAATATGCCATTATTACAGTAATACAATATTCTCCATGTGCCTATATATTTATCTTCACCAATGAATTTATACTTTCTTCTACTACTGTGTTGTTATTTAGTATCCTTTTGATTCATGTTGAAGAACTTCCTTTAGCATTTCTTGAGAGGCAGGTCTAGTGGTGATGAATTCCCTTAGCTTTTCTTTTATTTTTATGTGTGTAAAATATATATAACATAAAATTTATCATCTTAATCATTTTTAAATGTGCATAATGTTGTACAGCCATCACCACTATTTATCTCCATAATTCTGTTAGTCCCATAAAACTTAAATTCAATACCCATTAAATAATAACTCCTTATTTTCCTCTTCCCCCACCCACTGGGAACCACCATTCTACTTTCTGTCTCTATGATTTAACTACTCTAAGTACTTCATAGAAGTAGAATCAAAAAATTAAGATGCTCCTTGGCTTATGATGGTGCTGTGTCCTGATAAATCCATTGTAAGATAAAAATATCATAGGTTGAAATAAATTTAATACGTGTAACTTATTGGTAAAGCCAAATATATAGACAAATAGAGAATATTATATTACCATAATGGTGGTGGGTAAAACACTTTAAATCTAGTACAAATTAAAAGACAAAAGTATCAAAAATAACTATAACAAAAATATATTGATGGATACAAAATATAGATAAATGTAAATTGTTACCTTAATAACACAAAGTGTGAAGAAGTGAGAAGTAAAAGTGTATTGGTTTTCTATGTGATTCAAAGTAAATCATTATCAACTGTGAGTACTGTAATAACTATAAGATATTTCATAAAAGCCCCTAGCAACCAGCAAAAAAAAACCCATAGAAGTTTCACAAAAGAAAAGAGAGATTCAAAGCATATCAATTTTATAAAAGGAAAGCTGCAAGAAGAAAAACAGGAACCAAAATAATATAAGACAAGCAGAAAACAATTAAAAAATGTTAATTTTGTTAACTAGCTTACCAATAGTAAATTAACTTAACAGTAGTAAATTGGTAAAATTGACTTACCAATAGTAAATTCTTTTCTATTAATAATTACTTTAAACATAAATTGATTAAGCACCCCAATTAGAAAACATAGAATAGTCTTGGCATGGTGACTTATGCCTGTAATCCCAGCACTTGAAAGGCTGAAGTGGGCAGACCACTTGAGGTCAGGAGTTCAAGACCAGCTTGGCCAACATGGTGAAATCCAGTTAAAACTAAAATACAAAAATTAGTCAGGCGTGGTGGCACGTGCCTGTAGACGCAGCTAGTCAGGAGGCTGAGGCAGGAGAATCACTTGAACTCAGGAGGCAGAGGTTGCAGTGAACCGAGATTGCACCATTGCACCCCAGCCTGGGCAACAGAAAGAAAAAAAGAAAAAGACATACAGTAGCTGAATGCAGAAAGAAACAAGATCCAACTATATGCTGTGTACAAAAGACTCACTTTAGATTTAAGGACACCGTTAGGCTGAAAGTGAAGGGATAAAAAGAAATATTCCATGCAAACAGTAGCCAGGAGAGAGCAGAGATGGCTATATTTATATAAGACAAAGTAGACTTTAAGTCAAAAACTGTAACAGGAAATAAAAAAGGTTATCATGAAATGGTAAAAGGAGTAATTCACCAGGAATATATAATTATTATAAATATATATGTGCCCAACAAAAGAGCACCAAAATATATAAAGCAAACATTGACAAATGTGATTACATCAAACTAAAAAGCTTCCATGTAGCCAAGAAAACAATCAACAGAGTGAAGAGACAACCTACAGAATGGGAGAAAATATTCACAAACAACATGTCTTACAGAGTCAATTTTCAAAATATGTAAAAAATATGAAATTCAGGGAGGGTCTGGCAAGATGGCTGAATAGGAACAGCTCTGGTCTGCAGCTCCCAGTAAGACCAATGCAGAAGGAGGGTGATTTCTGCATTTCCAACTGAGGTACCCAGTTCATCTCATTGGGAGTGGTTAGACAGTGGGTGGAGCCCACGGAAAAGGAGCAGAAGCAGGGTGGGATGTTGCCTCACTCGGGAAGCACAAGGGGTCGGAGAACTCCCTCCACTAACCAAGGGAAGCCATGAGGGATTCTGCCCTGAGGGACGATGCTATCTGGCCAAGATACTATGCTTTTCCCTTGTTATACTGCAAGATAAAAAGCCTGTAGCTATTCTATGTGGGCAAAATAATTTTTGCAATCTATCCATCTGCCAAAGGACTAACATCCAGAATCTACAAGGAACTTAAATAAATTTGCAAGAAGAAAACAACCCCATCAAAAAGTGGGTGAAGGATATAAACAGACACTTTTCAAAAGAAAACATTTATGCAGCCAACAAACATATGAAAAAAGATCATCATCACTGGTCATTAGAGAAATGCAAATCAAAACCAAAATGAGGTACCATCTCATGCCAGTTAGAATGATGATCATTAAAAAGTCAGGAAACAACACATGCTGGAGAGGATGTGGAGAAATAGGAATGCTTTTACACTGTTTGTGGGAGTGTAAATTAGTTCAACCATTATGGAAGACAGTGTGGAAATTCCTCAAGGATCTAGAACTAGAAATACCATTTGACCTAGCAATCCCATTACTGGGTATATACCCAAAGGATTATAAATCATTCTACTATAAAGACAGGTGCACACGTATGTTTATTGCAGCACTATTCACAATAACAAAGACTTGGAACCAACCCAAATGCCCATCAATGACAGACTGGATAAAGAAAATATAGCACATATACACCACGGAATAATTTGCAGCCATAAAAATAAGAATGAGTTCATGTCCTTTGCAGGGACATGGATGAAGCTGGAAACCATCATTCTCACCAAACTAACACAGGAACAGAAAACCAAATACCACATGTTCTCACTCATAAGTGGGAGTTGAACAGTGAGAACATGTGGACACAGGGATGGGAGCATCACACACTGAAGCCTGTTGGGCGGTGGGGGGCAAGGGAAGGGATAGAATTAGGAGAAATGCCTCATGTAGATGACAGGTTGATGGGTATGGCAAACCCAGGGCACATGTATACCTATGTAACAAACCTGCACATTCTGCACATATATCCCAGAGCTTAAAGTATAATAAAAAAAAAGAAATTCATACAACTCAATGATTTGAAAATGATTTAAAAATGGGCAAAGGACCTGAATAGACATTTCATAAAAGAAGACATACAAATGGCGAAAAAGTATATGAAAAATGCTCAACGTCACTAATCATCAAGTAAATGCAAGTTAAAACCTCAATGAGCTGTCACCTGACACCTGTAAAAAAGAGTATGATCAAAAAGAAAAAACGTAACAAGTGTTGGTGAGAATAAGGAGGAAAGAAGAACCTTTGTATATTGTTGGTGGGAGTGTAAATTAGTACAACAATTATTAAAAACATATAGAGACTCCTCCAAATACTAAAAATAGAACTACTATATAATCCATCAATCTCACTTCTGGGTATATATCCATAGTAATGAAAGTAATATGTCAAAGAAATAGCTGTACTTCCATGTTTACTGTAGCATTATTCAGAATAGTCAAAGCTGTGGAACAAACCTAAGTGTCTATTGATTAATGAATCTCTGAAGGAAATGTGATATAAACATATATAAATTATAACTAATATAATATATAAAAATATATATAATGAAATACTACTCAGCCTTTAAGAAAGAAACCCTGTCATTTTTAAAAACATGAATGAACCTAGAGGACATTGTTCTAAGTGAAATAGGCCAGGCACAGACAGACAAATGCTGCATGATCTCACTTACAGATGGACACTAAGAAAGTTGAACTAACAGAAGCAGAGAGTAGAATGGTGATTCCAATGGGCAAAAAGTTTTAGAGAGGATGAATAATTTATGAAGATCTGTTACTCAGCGTGATGACTGTAGTTATAAACAAAATATTGTGGCCAGGCACAGTGGCTCAAGCCTGGAATCCCAGCACTTTCGGAGGCCAAGGGAGGTGGATCATGAGGTCAGGAGTTCAAGACAAGCCTGGCCAAGATGGTGAAATCCCATCTCTACTAAAAATACAAAAATTAGCTGGGCATGGTGGTGCGTGCCTGTAATCCCAGCTACTGGGGAGGCTGAGGCAGGTGAATGGCTTGAACCCAGGAGTTGGAGGTTGCAGTGAGCTGAGATCATGCCACTGCACTCCAACCTGGGAGACAGAGCAAGACTCCATCTCAAAAACAAAACAAAACAAAACAAAACAAAACAAAACAAAATACCGTATATTTGAATATTGCTAAGGCAATAGATATTAAATGTTCTCACTACAAAAAGTAAGTATTTGAAGTGATGAATATATTAATTAGGTTGATTAATCATTTCATAATATATACATATTTCAAAATATTATATTGTACACTGCAACTATATATAATTTTCATTTGTCAATTATGTCTTGATAAAGCCAGAAGAAAAGATCTAATAAATGTCTCCAATAAAGCTGTAGGATACAAATTCAGCATATAAAAATTAGTTGCATTTCTATACATTAAAGTGAACTATTTGAAAAAGGAATTAAGAAAACAATCTCTTTTCAATGTAATCAAAGAGAATAAAATATTTAGGAATAAAGTTCACCAAGGGAATGAAAGACTTGTACCTTAAAATTACAAAATATTGCTGGAAGGCATTAAAGCAGATAAAAAATAAATGAATGACATCCCATGTTCCTATACTAGAAGACTCAATATTGTTAAAATGTCCATACTAACTAAAGCAATGTATGGATTCAATGCAATCCCTATCAAAATTCCAATGGCATTTTTTACAGAAATAAAGAAAGCAATTCTCTAATATATGGAAGCACAAAGGACCCACTAATAGCCAAAACTATCTTGAGAAAGCAGAACAATGGTGGAGGCATCATATTGCATTATTTCAAAATATATTACAAAGCTACAGTAATCAAAACAGTATGGTACTCATGTGAAGACAGACATATAGATTAATCGAACAGAATACAAAGCCCAGAAATAAATCTACACATATATGGTCAACTGATTTGTGACAAGGGTACCAAGGGTGCCCCAAAGGGAAAGGATAGTCTCTTCAATATCCTGGGAAATATTGGGAGAATTGAATATACATATGCAAAGGAATGAAATTGGTTGCCTATATTAGACTACACAAAAAAATTACAAAACGGATTAAAGACTTAAACATAAGACGTGAAACAGTAAAAATCCTAGAGAAAACATAGGGAAAGCTTCATGGCATTGGTCCTAGCAATGATTTCATTGGAATGACACCAAAGCACGGGTAATAAAAGCAAAAAGTCGACAAGTGGAACTACAAACTAAAAAGCTTCTGCACAACAAAGGAAAAAATCAAGAGAATGAAAGCCAACCTATGAGATGGGAGAAAACATTTGCAAACCATATACTTGATAAGGGTTAATTTCCAAAATATATAAGAAAATTATTCAAAGAAATGAATAATCTAAATTTAAAATAGGCTAAGAACACAAATACACATTTCTACAAAGTACACAAACAGATGGCCAACAGGTATCAGTAATTGTCAATATTGCTTAATGTCACTAATTGTCAGAGAAACGATAATCAAAACCACAATGAGATACTGTTTTACACCTACTAGTATGGCTAGTATTTTTTTAAGACAACAAGTGTTGGCAAGGATTTAGAGAAATTGGAACCCATGTACACTATTGTTGAGAATATAAATTGATAAAGCTATTATGGAAAAAAGTATGGAGTTCCTCAAAAGATTATAGATAGACTACCATCAGATCCAGCAATCTCACTTCTGGGGTATTTATTCAAAATTTGAAATCAGGATCTCAAATATATATATATATTAGCACTCCTGAGTTCACTGCAGCACTATTCATAATAGCCAAGAAGTAGAAAAAACCTAAATGCCCATGGATGGATAAATGGAAAAAGAAAATGTGATAAACATATACAATGGGATATTACTCAGCCTTAAAGATAAGGAAATCCTGTCATTTGCAGCAAAATGAATGAACCTAGAGGACATTTTGCTAAGTGAAATAAGCCAGTCACAAAAGGATAAACACTGCGTGATTCAGTTATGTGAGGTATCTAAAATAGTCTAACTCATTGAAGCTGAGAGTAGAATGTTGGTTGATGGCCTGGGGGAATGGGAATTGGGAAGTTGATAATCAAAGAGTATAAAGTTTCAGATATACAAGATGGATACATTCTAGAGATTTGCTGTACAAAATGTGCCTATAGTTAACACTTAAAAATTTAAGAGGATAGATATCATGTTAAGTGTTCTTACCATAATAAGACAAGAATAAGAAAAGATATATCTTCTAAAAAACTATTGACTTGATCCTACTTATTTTATTTATTTTATTTTATTTTATTTTTTGAGACAGAGTCTCGTTCTGTTGCCCAGGCTGGAGTGCAGTGGCACAATCTTGGCTCACTGCAACCTCCGCCTCCCAGGTTCATGTGATTCTCCTGCCTCAGCCTCCTGAGTAGCTGGGATTACAGGCACACACCACCACACCTGGCTAATTTTTTGTGTATTTTTAGTAGAGACAGGGTTTCACTATGTTGGCCAGACTGGTCTTGAACTCCTGACCTCGCGATCTGCCCGCCTCGGCCTCCCAAAGTGCTGGGATTACAGGCATGAGCCACCATGCCCGGCCGATCCTACTTATTTGAACAAAATTTCAAATTATTTGGCTCAGTCTTCAAGGCTCTCTACAGTCTGTCGCTATCCTTCCTTGCCATATTATTATTCTTAGCTAACATCCTTAGCTTCCACCACTCCCCTGGATGACTCCTTCCCTGAAGTCATTGCCTACTCATTGTCTCTGTCTAATCTTGACCTTTCCTGTGTCTGTTTTAACTCATACCAGTTTATGCTCCACTAAAATGACCTTTCTACTTAGCTCCCATCTATTTACATTTAGACTCCTGCAAAGACAAATCAAGCACTACTTTCTCCACAAATCTTTTCTGAGTGCCACAAATGAAGTAAGTTTTCTTTTATTCAAATGTTGTGAGCACAGTAGCTATACTACTGGCATTAGTCACTCTCTACCTTGTTCTATACCTATCTCCCCTATTAGACACTAAGCTCCTTGAAAACAAAATTCAACTCTCAAAATTCAACTCAAATTTGTAGCATGTTAAGTGGCAAAAATAGTTCTTGAACACAGTGGGTACTCAAAAGGACATTTTTTTTAAATGAGTGATGCTGTCCTGCAGAACCAAACATAAGGAATGCATTGAATAAAATAATTGCTAATAGAAAATAATTTGTGCTTGGATTGGGATAGCATAGATAGGTATATAAACCATGTTTATGCGCAATATTTTTTTCCTAAGAAACTTCTTTAACTGTCAACAATATTCAGTATTAAAAAAATCATCTGTGCAGCCTCTATATTTAGAAGTTATGACAGCAAAAACAGTCGACAAAGAATGTTAGATTTTACATTTGCTTCCTAAATGTCACAAACAAAAAAGCACAAATTGACAGTGCCACACCTTTCTCTGGGCACCCACTGTCACCACTTCATCCCTACTGAGGGCTGACTCAAACACAGGAGGAAGGCTCCAGATCAATAAGATAATTAGCCAATTAAGCAGTCAATTTTGAAGTAAGGAATAGTTGACCATTGTGCACTTCAACAATGTACTCAACCATTACACAAAGCCTTGTTGTAAAATATTAACAGCCACTGATTCCAGACTCCTCCCTCCCCTGCTCCTCCACCTTTTCCTTGCCTTGCCCTAGCACCTTTTTCTGCCAAGGAGGCTCGCAGAAGGATTTCCTTACTTCTATTGTATTTGTTATTTTCCATCTTCTCATTTGGAACAAAGGCTTGCTATGGTCTTTTAAAATTTTGTCTTGGACCAAGGTGGTCATTGGCTGAAGTGGAACAAAGTGAAATCCGGTCTGGAAAATGATAATGCTGCTTTCCAACTTCTCATCACTGCATATTCTGCCCGCCTTGGCTCCAGAAAATTATCCAGTTATTTCCTTTTGGCAGCATCATTTTAGTGCACTTAATAAATTTGGACTTAGGAGGGTGCAGAGTAGCTTTCCCAGCATTTTTTTTAATGTTATAGACATTGCTGTTTCCCTTAAAGAAAGCTAAGTGTAACACCTCCTGCGCTTTGCCGTTTCTGGCTTTGCTTCAGTTTCTGGTTTTGCTGCTCTTGGTGCTGCTTCAGGACAAACAGAGTAAGAGTCCATCTAACTGATATGATTCAACAGATTCCAAGGGAGTCCTGAGTCCTGAAAATCTTTTCCCTCCTTTAAACGTATTGGGTGCTTAAAGTCTCCCATTATTATTAACCCCATGGACTATTCAAATGTGACTTTCTCCATGAAGCCTCTCATAATTTCAGCCTCCTGCTCCAGATGTAATAAATCACCCCTTCATTTGTCTGTAAAACTGGTCATATTCTATTTTACAATTAGCTTTATATGTTTCTCCCTCCCCTGCTAGAAAGTGAACATCTCAAAGATTAGAGCCACATCTTATGAATCTTTGCTTCTTCAGCATCTGACATATAGCAGAATATCAATTAATTTTCTACGAATAGATGCAAGGCCTGAGGTTTGATCATACATCATTCCTTTAAATTCATTTACTACAAAGCTTCTTAAATGCAAATATTGTTGGGAAGAACATTATGTTGTAATGCTAATTCAGTAATTATTATTGGTAAACTATAAGTATTCCTCTTGCAGAGATCCATCTGAGGATTAAAAATATCAGGGGCTGGGAAGTGTGCAAAAGGATTATTTAAAAGGGAAATAAATGTTTCATAAAAGGGAGACACCAAAGATTATCTACTCAATGATTTGGGGTTTCAGGCCAAATCTATATCTCAGCTGAAGTCTAATTTACTACAGAGCTTTATACTTTCGAAAGTTTTGCCCATAGAGGATGTATAAGTTGATTGTCACAATTTATCTAAAGATGCATTTGTACCTGCAATATAATAGGGCACACGAAAACTTGTCTACAGCCAATATATCTTTAGGCAAGAAGTCAATAATGAATCACCTATAAAAATTTTCCAGCTATTACCAAAAACCCTGGCAAGTTCAGGGCTATTTTCACAGCCAGCCCTCTGGGGCTCTCCAGTGACTCAGTATGCCCCTGCTACACCCCACCTCATTAGCTGCTGGGTTATCCAGACAGACATTAATTACTCAGCATTAAGTGCCTGTGTTTAAATGCTTATTTTGGATAATTCAGAAGGTTATTCTAGAGAAGTACCGTTAACTCCCTAGTAATTTTGACTTATGATCAAAAAGCTTTACTCAGAAAGACCAGTCACTTCAGTTGAATGACAATTTATTAAAAATATGTTACACATGACTGAACTGGAGTGCTTTCCATTCTTTTTCCCAGTTTTGCACTTTGCAGTATACTTAACATCCAGCAAAATTGTCTCCCCAATGATTAATTCACTCAGATATAGCAACACCCCAAAAAAGTCTCAGTAAATATTTGAATCTCCCTTCAATTGGCTGTTGGTAGCTGGCACAACTTTTCTGAGTTGCCATGTCATACTGCTTACTATAGAGGGCTCACTTAGCAGTCACTCAGTAAAAGTTAGGAGTTATTATTGTTATTTATATCTATAGATAAAATATGTGTTCAGATTGAGGCACCACTATGTGCCCTATACTATAAAGGAAAGGGACATATAATATGAAATTTCAGAAAGCCAGAGATAAAGAAGGGTTTCTAGTAGATAGGGAAAATCTAGATTATGTACAAACAACTGTAAATCAGAGTAATATCAGACTTCTCACCAATAACCACTAAAGCTAGAAAAAGAATAATGCCTTAAAATTCTGAAATAATGACTTTCAACCAAAAATTCTGTGTAGAAACAATTTGACTAGTGGTTGGGAAAATATTACCATTGATATCTTCATAAACCGAAGATAAGACAATGCATCTATAAAACAAATGGGATACCATGAAGAGGGAACTGAGTGAACAAAGAGAGAGAGAGACAAAATGACAGATAAAAAGAATTGTCAAAACATTATTTTAGGAAAGTTAATATAATAATTTAAATAGAAGCATGGTGCAATATAGTCAAGGAAATACCTCAGAAAATAAAGAAAATAATGTCAAAATAAAAGACAATAAAAGATAAAAGAAAATTAATTCAGGAACATTTAACTAACTGTAGCTCCAAATAAAGAGGAGGCAGAAAAGGAGGAAAATAGAACTGCTAAACAAACAACAACAACAAAAAACAATTCCTCAGAACTGAAAGACATGAGTCTCCAGATTAGAATGCTCCACTCTGGGCATTATCATGAGTCAAAAAAAAATAAAATGAATAAAAACATTTAAAGTATTGCAAGAGGAAAAAAATAACAAATGACATATAAATAGGAAATCAGAGTGACTTCAGACTATTCAATAGCAACTACTGTAGACAAAGGAAAATCGAATACATATATAGTGGAATAATGCCTTAAACATTCAGATGCTATAAGTAGGAGCTAAACATTTGTACACATAAGCATAAAGATGGAAATAACAGACACTGGACACTGGGAACTACTTGAAGCAGGGTGAGTGGGAGCGAGTGAGGGTTGAAAAACTACCTATTAGGTGCTATGCTCACTACGTGGGTGATGAGATCATTTGTACAACAAACCCCAGCAACATGCAATTTACCCAGGTAACAAACCTGCACGTACAACCCCTGAAACTAAAATAAAGTTGAGAAAAATATATATTCAGATTCACAGCAATCTATCCACTTAGTGTGAGAATAGAATAAATACATTTTAAGACTTACAATAAGAAATTTTATCTCCTATGTTCCTTTTTAGAAATATATACCAAGTATGTTAACCAGCAAGTGACTATATGTTCCAGTAAAACCAAAAAGCAATCATATTGGGGATCCAGCAGAAAGAAACTCTATTATAATTTAGTAACAAGGAAAAATTCTATTATGACAAAAAAGAAAAGCATGGCAAGACAGCAATGAAGCAGGTCTGGAATAAAAGCCAAATGGAATCAAGAGGACACATGACTCTAGGAGACAGGTGTCTAAAGGAAAATAGAACTGACAACATATATACTTGTTTGAGATTTTGGAAATAAAATTAAAAGACAGCTGGCAGATCCATTGGAACATTTGAGAAAAATTAGTAATAGACAGAAAATAAAGTAAGTAATAAATAAAGCATTCACAATCAGATCCTGATTTCTGAATGCCATTCCCCAATAAAGGAATCAAAACCCTGGGAGAAGTGACTGATTCTAGAACCAAGAAAGAAAATAGAAGGTGAGACTGGAGCATCTAATAATGACAGAAAGTAAGTGCTCAAAAAACATAGAGATGAGGGCATTTCAAATGGACACAGGAATCAACCTGGAGGAACTCCCAATGATCAAAGCTGGAGCAATTTGAGAAACAAAATAAATAACATAGTATTGAGTTATTACACAAAGCATAAAACAAATGTATATGATTTCATGCTGACATGAATAAATTAGTAAGGGAAAACAGACAAATCTTCTCTACAAAAAAAAATTCCAAATAATTTATGTAGCTAACCCCCTAGCTTCCAAGAGATGAAGTTTAATTTCCTTCCTCCTGGAGTATTAACTGAACTTTGTGATTTCCTTGTAAAAAATATAGAGATGGGGAAAATTAACTTTACACTAGAAAATACTGTTGACATTACTTTGGCTGGGTAATCAAAATTAACATCACCAGAGTTCGAGACGAGCCTGGCCAACATGGTGAAACCCCATCTTTACTAAAAGTACGAAAGGATTTAGAGTCCCAAAGTGCTAGGATTATAGGCAGGAGCCACCGCGTCCATTCAAGGTTATGCATTTTAGCAAGAATACCCCAGATGTGACATTGTGCTCTTCTCAGTGCATCATATTGGGGGTACATGGTGTTCATATGTCTTATTCCTGGTGACATCAATTTCAATCACTTTGGTTAAGGTGGTGTCTGCCTAATCTCTGTAAAGTGACTATTTTTCCCTCTTAAAGATGACCTTAAAAATTAAGGTAAGTTTTATTTTGCCTTAATTCAGATGCATATTTAAATGCCACCTTTTGCAAAAATATTTCAGTCAAATTATAATAAAAATTTATGTGATTAAAAAAATTTAATGTCATCAGTGATAACTCAACCTGAGAGCATATGCACTGATATGATGTGCTGTGTTATATATATGAAACACTGGAGTTCCCAAATTTATAAATCAATTACTACCGGACCTAAGAAATGTTATAGACAGTAACACAATAATCGTGGGGGACTTCAATACTCTACTGATAGCACTAGACACGTCACCAAAACAGAATGTCAACAAAGAAAAACAATGAACTTATACTATACCCTAGAACAAATGGACTTAACAAGTATTTACAGAACATTCTACCCAACAACTGAAGAATATACATTCTTTTCATTGACACATCGAACATTCTTCAAGATAGACCATATAACAGGCTGCAAAACAAGTCCCAAAGAAAATGAAAATTATATCAAGTACTGTCTCAGACCACAGTGGAATAAAATTAGAAACTAATTCCCAAAGTAACCCTCAAAACTATACAAATACATGGGAATTAAATAATCTGCTCCTGAATGATCTTTGGGTCAACAAAGGAATCAAGATGGAAATTTAGAAATTCTTTGAACTGAACAATAATAGTGACACAACCTATCAAAACCTCTGGAATAAAGCAAAAGCGGTGCTGAGAGGAATGTTCATAGCCTTAAATACCTACATCAAAAAGTCTGAAAGAGCAAATATAGACAATGTAAGGTCACACCTCAAGGAACTAGAGAAACAAGAACAATCTAAACCCAAACCCAGTAGAAGAAAAGAAATAACAAAGATCAGAACAGAACTAAATAAAATTGAAACAACAACAAAAAACAATACAAGAGATAAATGAAACAAAAGCTGGTTCTTTGAAAAAATAAGTAAAATTGATAGATCATCAGTGAGAATAACCAAGAAAAGAAAAGAGAAGATCCAAATAAGCTCGATTAGAAATGAAATGAGAGATATTACAACTGATACCACAAAAATACAAAAGATCATTCATGGCTACTATGAACACCTTTATGCGCATAAACTAGAAAACCTAGAGGAGATGGATGAATTCCTGGAAATATACAGCCTTCCTAGATTAAACCAGGAAGAAATAGAAACTCTGAACAGGTCAATAACAAGCAGTGAGATTGAAATGGTAATAAAAATATTACCAACAAAATAAGTCCAGGATCAGATGGAGTCACAACTGAATTCTATCAGACATTCCAAGGAGAATTGGTACCAATCCTATTGACACTATTCCATAAGATAGAGAAAGAGGGAATCCTCTCTAAATCATTCTATGGAGCCAATGTTACCCTAATGCCAAAACCAGGAGAGGACATAACAACAACAATAACAACAAGAAAAAACACAAAAAACTACAGACCAATATCCCTGATAAACCTGTATCCAAAATTTTCAACAAGATAACAGCCAACCGAATCTAACAGCATGTTAAAAAGACAATCCATTATGATCAAGTTGGTTTCCTATCAGGGATGCAGGGATGATTTAACATGTCCAAGTCAATAAACACAATACACCACATAAACAAAATTAAAAACAAAAATAATATGATTATCTCAATAAACACAGAAAAACCATTTGACAAAATTCAGCATCACTTTATGATTAAAATCCTTAGCAAAATTTGCATAGAAAGGGTATATCTTAAGGTAATAAAAGCAATCTATGACAAACCCACAGCCAACATTACATTGAATGGGGAAAAGTTGAAAGCATTACCCCTGAGAACTGGAACAAGACAAGAATGCCCACTCTCACCACTTATATACAATATAGCTCTGGAAGTGCTAGCCAGAGCATTCCAAATTACTAAAATTTGCATCTGGTACAGGACTTAAAAGTTCCTTGCTTTTAAGAAAGAAATAAAGAGCATCCTAATCAGTAAAGAGGAAGTCAAGCTGTTGCTGCTCACTGATGATATGATTGTAAACCCTAAAGATTCATCCAAAAAGCTCCTAGATCTGATAAATGAATTCAATAAAGTTTCAGGACACAAAATCTGTGTACACAAACTAGTAGCACTGCTATACACCAACAGTGACCAAGCTGAGACTCAAATCAAGAACCCAATCCCTTCTACAACAGCTGCAAAAACATAACAAAACAAAACAAAACAAATCATGTACTTAGGAATATATGTAACCAAGGTGGTGAATGATCTCTACAAGAAAAACAACAAAACACTGCTGAAAGAAATCATAGATGACACAAACAAATAGAAACACATTCTATGCTCAGGGATGGGTAGAATCAATATTGTGAAAATGACCATACTGCCAAAAGCAATTTATAAATTCATTGCAATGCCCATAAAAATACCATCATCATTCTTCACAGAACTAGAAAAAAATTCCTAAAATTCATATGGAACCAAAAGAGAGCTTGTATAGCCATAACAACACTAAGCAAAAAGAACAAATTTAAAGGCATCACATTAGAGACTCCAAAATCAGACTACCTACTTCAAATATTAACTCTGTGGCCTTAAGATATTAAACCCTTATGTGTCTCAGTTTCTTCATCTATTAAATGAGGGGATAATGTTATTTCTCATACTTATTTTGGATTAAATGAGATAATACATTAAAATGGATAAAACTGCCTGCCAAATGACATGCTCCGTAATTGCTAATACTGGTTTTTACTTGATGAGTCACAAAGTAAAGTTAGTTTATGCCTCCTGCCTGGCCCAATGCATCTTTGTAGTTGAAGTAACTATGTAGAAACAGGAAATGCCAACATTACAATTTCATGGCATCAGAGTTAGCAAAAAGAAAGGTAGGCTTTTATTATCTACCTTTTCCACAGCAAACTCTGGTTGGTCCACAGAATAGATCTCTCTCTTTACCATGTGAAGGAGAAAAATAAGAAATAAGACCACTATTGTGTTGTCTTACATCCAAACATCAACCCTATTAACATTGCTGTGATTCAGCTTTCATTGTTTTATTCAATCAAAACATTTCATTAACATTTACTATAAGCAAGGAACTTTTAAGTCCTATGCCAGATGCAAAGATAAAAAGTTTGGTCCTCATTACCTCTTTAGCAAAAAAAAAAAAAAAAAAAAAAATATATGGTGAAATGCACAAACAAAATGTATCATCTTTTTTCTTTTTTTTATTATACTTTAAGTTTTAGGGTACATGTGCACATTGTGCAGGTTAGTTACAAAATGTGGCACATATACACCATGGAATACTATGCAGCCATAAAAAATGATGAGTTCATGTCCTTTGTAGGGACATGGATGAAATTGGAAATCATCATTCTCAGTAAACTATCGCAAGAACAAAAAACCAAACACCGCATATTCTCACTCATAGGTGGGAATTGAACAATGAGATCACATGTATCATCTTATTTTTAAGTGTACAGTTCAGAAGTGTTAAGTATGTTCAAAATGTTGTTCAATCAATTTCAGAACTCTTTTCATATTGCAAAACTGAAACTCTATATCCTTTAAACAAGAACTCTCCATTCTCCCCTCCCTCCAGCCCCAGCAGCAACCATTCTACTTCCTGTCTCTACAAATTTGACTATTCTAGGTACCTCATACAATATTTTTCTTTTTGGGACTTGCTCATTTTACTTAGCATAATGTCCTCAAGATCCATCTATGTTATTGCATGTATCATAATTTCCTTCCTTTTTAGGCTGACTAAATTCCATTGTTTTTATATACCACATTTCATTTATCTATTCATCCATCAACGAAAACTTGGGTTGCATGGATGTTTTAGTTATTGTGAATAATGCTGCTATGTATAGGTGTAGAAATATCTCTTTTGATGCTGCTCCCAATTTTTTTATATATACACAGTAGTGACACCTCTGGATCATATGGTAATTCTATCTTTACCATTTTCAGTAACTTCCATACTACTTTCCATAGTGGCTACACCTTTTTACATTCCCAAGTAAGATGCACAAAGACCAAGTTCTCTTCATCCTCACCAACTGTTATTTTCTGTGTGTTTTTTTAAATAGCCACCCCACTTTAATGGGATTGACATGGTATCTCAGTGTGTTTGTGATTTGCATTCCCCTAATGATTAGCAATGGCCGGCATCTTTCTTTATGTGCCTATTGGTCATTTGTATATCTTCCTTAAAGAAATGCATATTCAAGTTTTGCCCATTTTTGATTTTTTTTGTTATTGAATTTTAGTTCTTTATATATTTTGGTTACTAATCCCTTATCAGATATATGATTTTCAAATATTTTCTCTCATTTCATAGGTTATATTTTCACCCTGTTGATTATGTCCTTTGATACACAGAAGTTTTTTTATTTCGATGTAGGCCAATTCACTTATTTTAACTTTTGTTACCCATGCTTTTGGCATCAGAGCCAAGAAATCATTGACAAATTCAGTGTCATGAAGCTTTTCTCTATGTTTTCTTCTAATGGTTTTATAGTATTAGCTTTTATATTTAGATCTTTGATCCATTTAGAGTTATTTTTTTCCTTTGTATAAATGTCCTCATTTATTCATTTATTCAATAAACAGACCTTGAACACTTACTGTGTGCCAGGTATGTATATTTAATGTCCAAGGCACTGAATGCCCAAGGAAGATCTTAACCTTATTCTTAAACTAATATCTTAATATAGATTCCAGCACCCAGTGAGTGATTCTCTGTCCCAGTAGAGGAGACAAACAAGTGCACAAATAAGTGGAAGACAAGGTAACGAAACTTTAATAACTGTACAGCACAGCACCAACCAATCCGAGCAGACCCAGTCACAGTAGCCCCTGCCATGGTGAATACCAGCTGTCTGTCAGCCCTGAGTATAGGTAATACCAAGTGCAATATTTTAAACACCCAAAGAGGAATGTAAACTAGAGGGAGTAGAGAGAGGGGGGCCACTTTTATAATTCCACATTCGTGCTTCCCTCGCAGAGGGAGCTGAATTGATGTAGTTGGCTATACGAGTTTTCCATCCTCTCCTGTATACACACCCATTGCCAAGTGACTGCAGTTCTTCTCCCTGAAGAGGTGGAGTCTGTCTCCTGACTCCTTGAATCTGGACTGGCCCTCTGACTTGCTTTGGCCAGTGGAATGCAGCAGAAGTAATGAGGAGCCTATTTCAAGATTAGGCTGTAAGACGCCTTGGGTAATTCTGCTCATTATTGCTCCTCTGCCGTCACTATGACAAGATGCCCCAGATAGCCTGCTGGAGGAGGAGAGACTTGGACACAGCCAAGTTGCCCCACTTGCCCCAGAGAAGGCTATCCTAGATCAGCTAATAGCCAGCCAGCACCTACAGTGAAGTTTCTCCGTAGAAGCACTTTGAAGTTAGGGGTTGGATCATTATTTGTTGTGGGGAGCTGTTCATTTATGGATGGCATCATCCCTGGCCTCTACTCACCAGATCCCAGTAGTACCCCCCCCCCCACCCCACCGCCAAAGGTGTGACAACCAAAAATATCTCCAGACATTGCCAAATGCCCCCGAGGGGCAAAACAGCCTCTGGTTGGAACTTATGCCCCAGACTTATGAGTGTGTCAAGCTAAGATCAGCAGTGCTACCTAGTTTCTGACTGTGGATACATGAGCAGTAAATGCCTACTGTTGTTTGCCACTGAAGTGTGTGGTTATTTGTCTCATAGCATTATTGTGGAATAGGTAGCTAATACAGTGACCAAAAACATGGAAACATGGAAGTGAGAGATAGAACTGGACAACTGGACAACTGCAAGTAGTCCAGTGGGCTGGGAACTTGACAAGTAGATTTGTAGGTAGAGTCAGGTTAGTATGAAGTACAGACAAGGCTAGAAAGCTAGGGTACCTTGGTATGAATTGGGGACATGATTATTCATGGTGGGGGAGGGGTGCTGTCAGAGCATGTGTCAGTTATGTATTTATACCACAGGAAACAGGGTTATCAGCCTGTACTGTAGGCAGCAGTAGGGAGGGGGAATTGTTCAAGCAGGAGGGAACGTTCTGCAGTGGTTCAGTTGATTCACACATAAGGCCCGAATTAGGGAATTAGGAGAATGGCCATATGTGTAGAAAGGAGGGGAGGGCAACCAGGCATGTTTGGTGTAAAATTGATACAACTTGGTAACCTGTACCTTGCTGCCTTTGCACATTTGATTTCCCCTGTCTCAGAGGCTCCCTCTTTTCCAATGATGATCTACTCAACCCTCAATACTCAGCTCAACATTCAGGGAAGTCTTTGTGGGAGTCTTCCATGTCTTGTGAAGGCAGAGCTTATATGGCTGTCACAACTGTTTTTTTATTTTTTATATTTATTTATTATACTTTAAGTTCTAGGATACATGTGCAGACCATGCAAGTTTGTTACATAGGTATACATGTGCCTGGTGGTTTGCTGCACCCATCAACCCATCATCTGCATTAGGTATTTCATCTAATGCTATCCCTTTCCATGCTCCCAACCCTCCAACAGGCCCCAGTGTGTCATGTTCCCCTCCCTGTGCCCATATATTCCCATTGTTCAACTCCCATTTATGAGTGAGAACATGCAGTGTTTGTTTTTCTGTTCCTGTGTTAGTTTGGTGAGAATGATGGTTTCCAGCTTCATCCATGTCCCTGCAAAGGACATGAAATCATTCTTTCTTATGGCTGTATAGTATTCTGTGGTGTATATGTGTTGCATTTTCTTCATACAGTCTATTATTGATGGGCATTTGGGTTGGTTCCAAGTCTTTGCTATTGTGAGTAGTGCCACAACAAACATATGTGTGCATGTGTCTTTATAATAGAATGATTTATAATCCTTAGGGAATATACCCAGTAATGGGATTGCAAGGTCAAATGGTGTTTCTAGTTCTAGATCCTTGAGGAATTGCCACACTGTCTTCCACCGTGGTTGAACTAATTTACACTCCCACCAACAGTGTAAAAGTGTTCCTATTTCTCCACATCCTCTCCAGCATCTGTTGTCTCCTGACTTTTTAACGATCGCCATTCTAACTGGCATGAGATGGTATCTCATTGTGGTTTTGATTTGGATTTCTCTAATGACCAGAGATGATGAGCTTTTTTTTCATATTGGTTGGCCACATAAATGTCTTCTTTTGAAAAGTGTCTGTTCATATCATTTGCCCACTATTTGATGGGGTTGTTGTTTTTTTTCTTGTAAATTTGTTTAAGTTCCTTGTAGATTCTGGATGTTAGTCCTTTGTCATATGGATAGATTGCAAAAATTTTCTCCCATTCTGTAGGTTGCCTGTTCACTCTGATGATAGTTTCTTTTGCTTTGCAGAAGCTCTTTAGTTTAATTACATCCCGTTTGTCAATTTTGGCTTTTGTAACAATTGCTTTTGGTGTTTTAGTCATGAAGTCTTTGCCCATGCCTATATCCTGAATAGTATTGCCTAGATTTTCTTCTAGGGTTTTTATGGTTTTAAGTCTTATGTTTAAATCTTTAATCCATCTTGAGTTGATTTTTGTATAAGTTATAAGGAAGGGGTCTAGTTTCAGTTTTTTGCATAAGGCTATCCAGTTTTCCCAATACCATTTATTAAATAGGGAATGCTTTCCCAATTGCTTGTTTTTGTCAGGTTTGTCAGAAATCAGATGGTTGTAGATGTGTGGTGTTATTTCTGAGGCTTCTGTTCTGTTCCATTGGTCTATATATCTGTTTTGGAACCAGTACCATGATGTTTTGGTTACTGTAGACTTGTAGTATAGTTTGAAGTCAGGTAGTGTGATGCCTGCAGCTTTGTTCTTTTTGCTTAGGATTGTCTTGGCTATATGAGTTCTTTTATGGTTCCATATGAAATTTAAAGTAGTTTTTTCTAGTTCTGTGAAGAAAATCAATGGTAGCTTGAAGGGAATAGCATTGAATCTATAAATTACTTTGGGCAGTATGGCCATTTTCACGATATTGATTCTTCCTATCCAGGAGCATGGAATGTTTTTTGATTTGTTTGTGTCCTCTCTTATTTCTTTGAGCAGTGGTTTGTAGTTCTTCTTGAAGAGGTCCTTGACATCCCTTGTAAGTTGTTTTCCTAGGTATTTTATTCTCTTTGTAGCAATTGTGAATGGCAGTTCACTCATGATTTGATTCTCTGTTTATCTATTATTGGTGTATAGAAATACTTGTGATTTTTGCACATTTTTTGATTTTGTATCCTGAGACTTTGCTGAAGTTGCTTATCAGCTTAAGGAGTTTTGGGGCTGAGATGATGGAGTTTTCTAAATATACAATCATGTCATCTGCAAACAGAGATAATTTGACTTCCCCTCTTCCTATTTGAATACCCTTTATTTCTTTCCCTTGCCTGATTGCCCTGGCCAGAACTTCCAATACTATTTTGAATAAGAGTGGTGATAGAGGGCATCCTTGTCTTGTGCTTGTTCTCAAAGGGAATACTTCCAACTTTTGCCAATTTAGTATGATATTGACTGTGGGTTTGTCATAAATTGCTCTTATTATTTGGAGATATGGTTCATCAATACCTAGTTAATTTAGTGTTTTTAATATGAAGCGGTGTTAAATTTTATCAAAGGCTTCTTTCTGTATCTACTGAGATAATCAAGTTGTTTTTGTCATTGGTTCTGTTTATGTGACGGATTACATTTATTGATTTGCATATGTTGAAGCAGCCTTGCATCCCAGGGATGAAGCCAACTTGATTGTGGTGGATAAGCTTTTTAATGTGCTGCTGGATTCAGTTTGCCAGTATTTTATTTAGGATTTTCACATCAATATTCATCAGGGATATTGGCCTGAAATTTTCTTTTTTTGTTTTGTCTCTGCCAGGTTTTGGTATTAGGATGATGCTGGCCTCATAAAATGAGTTAGGGAAGAGTCCTTTTGCTATTGCTTGGAATAGTTTCAGAAGGAATGGTACAAGCTCCTGTTTGTACCTCTGGTAGAATTCAGCTGTGAATCTTTCTGGTCCTGGGCTTTTTTTTTTTTTTTTTGGTTGGTAGAATTTTAATTACTGCTTCAATTTCAGAACTTGTTATTGGTCTATTCAGGGATTTGATTTCTCCCTGGTTTAGTGTTGGGATGGCGTATGTGTCCAGGAATTTATCCATTTCTTCTGTGTTTTCTAGTTTATTTGCATAGAGGTGTTTATAGTATTCTCTGATGGTAGTTTGTATTTCTGTGGGATCAGTGGTAATATCCCCTTTATCATTTTTTATCGTGTCTATTTGATTCTTCCCTCTTTTTCTTTGTTAGTCTGGCTAGTGGTCTATTTTGTTAATCTTTTCAAAAAAACAGCTCCTGGGTTCATTGATTTTTTTAAGGGTTTTTCGTGTCTCTATCTCCTCCAGTTCTGCTCTGATCTTAGTTATTTCTTGTCTTCTGCTAGCTTTTAAATTTGTCTGCTCTTGCTTCTCTAGTTCTTTTAATTGTGATGTTAGGGTTTCAATTTTAGATCTTTTCCTGCTTTCTCATGTGGGCATTCAGTGCTATAAATTTCCCTCTAAACACTGTTTTAGCTGTGTCCCAGAGATCCTGGTACATTGTGTCTTTGTTCTCATTGGTTTCAAAGAACTTATTTATTTCTGCCTTAATTTCCCCAGAGGGGCACCCGTCAGATGCCAGCTGGAGCTCTCCTGTAAAAGGGGTCTATCAACCCCTGCTGAGATGTGTCTCCCAGTCAGAAGGCACGGGAGGAGGCAGTCTGTTCCTTAGCAGAGCTCAGGCACAGTGCTGGGAGATCTGTTACTCTCTTCAGAGCTGGCAGGCAGGAATGTATAAGTCTGCTGAAGCTGCATCCACAGCCACCCCTTCCCCCAGGTGCTCTGTCCCAGGGAAATGGGAGTTTTATCTATAAGCCCGTGACTGGGGATGCTGCCTTTCTTTCAGAGATGCACTTCCCAGAGAGGAGGAATCTAGAGAGGCAGTCTGACTACAGCAGCTTTTCCAAGCTGCACTGGGCTCCATCCAGTCTAAACTTCCTGGTGGCTTTGTTTACACTGTGAGGGGAAAATTGCCTGGTCAACCCTCAGTAATGCCAGGAGCCCCTCAACCCACTAAGCTGGAGCACCCCAGGTTGACTTCACACTGCTGTGCTGGCAGCCAGAATTTCAAGCCAGTGGATCTTAGCTTGCTGGGCTTTGTGGTGGTGGGATCCCCTAATCAAGACCACTTTGCTCCCTGGCTTCAGCCATTTTTCCAGGTGAGTGAACGGTTCAGTCTCACTGGCATTCCGGGTGTCACTGGGGTACAAAAAATAAAATTCCTGCAGTTAGCTCAGTGTCTGCCCAAATGGCCGCCCAGTTTTGTGCTTGAAACCCAGGGCCCTTGTGGTGTAGGCACCTGAGGGACTCTCCTGGTCTGTGGGTTGCAAAGACCATGGGGAAAACACAGTATCTTGGCCAGATAGCACCATCCTTCACGGCACGGTCCCTCATGGCTTCCCTTGGCTAGGGGAGGGAGTTCCCTTACCCCTTGCCCTTCCCAGGTGAGGTGATGCCCCACCTTGCTTCTGCTTGCCTTCCCTGGGCTTCACTCACTATCTAACCAGTCCCAATGAGATGAACCAGGTACCTCAGTTGGAAATGAAGAAATAACCTGCCTTCTGCATTGGTCTCACTGGCAGTTGCAGACCACAGCTGTTCCTATTCAATCATCTTGCCCAGGAATCTTTTTTTTAGACTCAATTTTTGAATATTATATAAGCTAAAGGTCCAACTCCATTTTTTTTTTTTTTTTTTTTTGCACGTGGACATCAAATTTTCCCAGAACTATTTGTTGAAAATCTATCTTTTCCCATTGCATGGTCTTGGCAACCTTGTTAAAAATCATTTGACTATATACAAAAGAATGTGTGTTTCTGGGTTCTCTATTCTATGCCATTGGTAATATATGTCCACCTTTATGCCAGTACCACACTTGTTTTGATTATTATAGCTTTGTAGCAAGTATGAGATGTACAATTTTATTCTTCTTTTTAAAGATTATTTTGACCACTAAGGGTGCCTTACATTCCATATGAAGTTTAGAATGGATTTTTCTACGGCTGCAAAAAACTCCATTGGGTTTTGATAGAGAGTGCATCGAATCTGGGGATGGCCTTGGTTAGTATCTACATTTCAACAGTGTTATGCCTTCAAATCCATGAACGCAAGATATGTTTTCATTTATTTATGTCTTCTTTAATTTTTTCCAGCAATGTTTTATAGTTTTCAGTGTACAAGTCTTTCACCTCCTTGGTTACATTTATTTCTGAATAATTCACTCTTTTTGATGCTATTGTCAATAGAATTGTTTTCTTAATTTTCATTTTGATTATTCATTATTAGTATGGAAATGCAACTAATTTTTGTATGTTGATTTTGTATCCAGCAGCTTTGCTGAATTCATTTACAAGATCTAACTGTGTGTGTGTGTGTGTGTGTGTGTGTGTGTGAGTGTTCTTTAGAGCTTTCTATTCTATACATAAAATTATATTATCTGCAAACTGAGGCAATTTTTTCTTCTTCCTTTCTAATTCAGATAGAAAAAATAAAAACTAAAACACCACAGTGGTATGTAATTTTATACCCACTAGATTGGCAAAAATTTGAAAAGTTGAAAACACCAAGAGGTGGCAAGGATATAAAGCAGAAAGAAATGCCATTCATTAATAATAGGAGTATAGTTGGTGCACCCACACTGAATAAATTCAACATTACCTAGTGAATCTAAACATGTTTACATTTTATGACTAGAAATTTTACTCCTACACATTTACACGCTCTAGAGATAAATTTTTGTATGTGCGTGTAACAAGATACACGTGCAAATGTCCAAAGCAAAACTGTCCATGATAGTAAAGAGAAAAAAAAATCTATGGACAATAACATGGAAAAATAAACTATGGCACATTTCTAAAAGAGAAATAATGTTAATAAATTACCTATAACATTAACATGGAAAAATTCCAATAGCAAAATTTTAGAGCAGGAGAAGCAAGTCACAGCCTGATACACACACCGTGATAAAGTTCATATGAAATTTGAAGACAAGTAAAACCGAAAACCTGTTTCTTATGAATTTATATATCAGTGAGAAGTTGTTTAAAAAACAAGAAAATAGTAAAACAAAATTCAGAATAGTAACTATTTCTGGGGAGTGATCTGGCAGGGCACAAAGAGGGCTTTTCAGTTATTAATGTTCTAGTTTTTAAATTGAGTGGTGAATGCAAAATGTTTGCTTTGTCATCATTTTCTGAAAGGTTCATGTATTTTAAAAATTTTCATGTTATAACACATTAAAACTGTTATTATAACACAATATATATTATAACACAATAAAAACTGTTAATCCAACAATAAGCTTAAACTTAAAATGTAACAACTACACATTTTCACAAAGAATTCATGCAAATAGACTCTTTGCCAGCATGTGGTCTGGCATTAAGTGAGTATCAGGAAACAGACTCTCCTGCAGGTGCTAGCAGGAAAAGCAGAGAGCATTCATGGCAATTGTCCATGGTGATTAAGATGCCGTTGAAAAGGGCTGTTCCCAGCACTGAGAATCTCTCCACACCTGTCTACTGCAATTCCAAACCTAAGACAGCAAGCAAGGAACCAGAGTCTAATACTTTGATGACCAACAGTCTGAACCCATGATGTGATCAGATGAATGATCACATGGATAAAATGAGTGAAAAGACTATCCTAGAGAACTCAAGAGGTATACTTGCTTCTTGCCAGTCGTGTCTTTCCACCTTGTTCATAAACCAGTCAAGGGCAAAGTCTGTCTTCTACTTTCTTCTCTTTGTAACTTCTCTTTCCTACCCAGTGAGCTTTTGAGTAAAAATATTCGATGTCTGTCTAGCGATGGGATAGATTTCTTGATAGATATATAGTCCACTCTAAATAACTAGCTTGGGACATGTTTATTTCCCCGTCAGCTGCCTTGGTCAACCCCAAAATGCTGCTATGGTTCAAGGCACTTTGGAAACCTCTTTTTGTAAGTCACACTCATGACACACACAAACAAATGTACAGAACCAGTCTCTTGACTTTAGAGTCACATCTTCAATTTTACTAAATAGATTTGCTCATTTGGATCAGCACTAGGTTCTCAGGTGCTTGCTTAGAATAGCAGTGCTTCCCAGAGAAGAATATGTTGTTTCTTTAAGGATATTTCAAGATCATGCCTCAGGCATCAAAAGCAATTCCAATTTAGGGGCATTTACTAAAGCTCGTGAACCACTGTGGGTAATAAAAAGAGCCCCAAAGTTGGAGTTACAAGTTCTTCCTAGATTTTATATATATATATATATGTATATATATATGTGTATATATATATATATATACACATATATATATACATATATATATATATATAGAGAGAGAGAGAGAGAGAGAGAATATAGAGAAAATATACACATAAAAATATAAAGAGATATATATATAATAAAGAAAAACTGAAAATAAGAAATAGAAGAGGTTCTGAGTTCAGGTCTGCCACTCCCCAGCTGTGTTATCCTGAACAGTGGTCTTAGTTTTTCTAGTTCTTAAGATTATTGATCTTTAAGAGTTGATTAACTCTGTTTGGTTGCTGGAAGAATCAAATAAGAGTTATATGAAATTACTTTTTAAACTGTTAAGCACTGTACAAACGTAAGAAGTCTTAATTACAAACTTACAAAGCAAAAATTGAGTTTCTTTTGTTAGAGATCAGGCTTTGAGGTTAGAAAAAGAAGATCTAAGTGGTTTTCTAACCTCTTCTAAGAGGTTAGGAAAAAACGGATTCTGAAACTATCTTTACAATGGGGAAGATAAAACACAAAAATAAATGACTATAGTGCAAAATGGAAGTAAACATGACATAAAAATGATATGGTTAGGTTCTACAGCAGTTCAGGGGATGAGAAATTCCTTAAAGCTGCAGGAATCAATGGAAGATTTATGAAGGAAGTGACATTTGATCTGGGCATTGAAGAATGATAGAACTTAATATATGCAGAAGGGAAGATACAGGAAAAGGAAGAACAGGCACAAGGAAGACACGGCTTTTACAGAGCAAACTAGCTCTTTGACTAGATTAGAAAGCATGTAAAGACCATTACTGGGCTTAGTGCAAGAAGTTAGGCAGAACTCAGTCATGGAGGCTTTGAAACCTGGTCATGTATGGCACACAGCAGCCTTCCCCTCCAACTCCCTGTGAGTCGTCCTCTGTTCCTAATAGGATACATTCCAGAAAGTTACCATTTCAGGCTCCCCAATCAATGCCACAGGCTTATGTAAATCAGACCTGACACACTGCATCTCTCTGTTTTCTTACCCAGGACATTTCCCTTCTAGACTTGACAGGATCCACAGCCTCAGAGCAGCCCTGAGCACCAAGTTCTCACTTTTGCAGATCTTACCAAGAGATTTGTGGTGTGGCAGCTTGCCAGGCCCTGATCACTTAGCCAGGAAATCCTGCCATGGGGGAAGGAGTCTAACATGCAGAATCAAGAACGAGCCTCACTTTCCAAAAGCACTGCTAGAGCATCAGTGCTAAATTGTACTTGACATTTAATTCCAGCTTGGGGCAGTTTTGTGTGAAACTTGACTTCAGTGAGACATTGATCAACGTGAATCTCTTCATGAGTTTTGACACAATCAGTTTTCTCCAGTGGATTGGGTGATTGTTAGCTGACTTACAGAAAGGCCTGGGTCACACACAGCTTTCTGTGGGCCTCAAACCTGCAGGCAAGGAAGAAATTATGAGAAATTGCTGCTGGCAAGGGATCACCCCCGTCCCTACAGAACATAACCAATAAGAGTCTATGAAGAGCAGGCCCACCTTTAATCTCATCAGCTCAGAATCTGGGTTTTTGAGAGACTTAAGGAAATCTAGTTGATTTAGGAAAAGGGAACAAAGTTGGATGAGACTGTTCACTCAAGTCGTCCTTTATAACCATGACTTGTTGTCTCAAACTTCCTTAACTTACTAGCTTCATCTTTATTTACCTAGAACTGGCTAGAGATGGAAAGAAAAATAAAGCACTTGATAAGTGTGGATCTGTATAATTTATTGTGAGACTTTGGTCAGTGAACCAACAGGCACTATTGGGTTCTTAGAAGCACTCTGCAGGCAGAACAAGATTTTAAAACACTAAACCCCACTCTTATAGTGCAAAACTGTCCTGCAACGTGTCAGTTTGAATAATTTTTTGAATTTATATGATTCACAAGAAACAAAAAGGCTTACTTCTCCAAAAACATGAACTACACCATCAGAAACAATGTCTACATTTGTGCCCAACTCTATGCCCAGTGGTCAGCTCAATGTCTGCTACACGGTTAGCATTCATTTAAAAAATGTCGAATGCACGAATGAATAATTCAGCTGTCGTATTCCTAATATTGGAGTACTTTTGGTAGTGAGTGTTACTAGAAGTGGTTCTAGAAAGCTCCCAATAAAAAAAAATAAATACTGACTTATTGGCACACCTGTATATGTCAGCATGGCATAGCATGTATTCAGTATTTCCGAATGACTGAACTTTGCTTATTCAGTCAATTTGGAATGTCAAGTGACAGGTAAATTTTCAGGTGAGGGAGCAGTCTTAAAGCACCACTGAATGTGCATTCCTAGAGACACAGTTGTGATCAGCAAGAAGCAGAGAGACACCCGACTGCAGCATTCCCCAGGGAGTATTGTGCTATCCCCACTACCAGAGCAACTGAGAGTCTAATAATCACACAAGTAACCCCTACCTATCACTCATGTGTATTATTTCATTTTCACACCACTGTAAAGTACTACTCGAGACTGGGTAATTTATAAGAAAAGCGGCTTAATTGATTCACAGTTCTGCAGACTGTACAGGAAGCATGGATGGAATGTCTCAGAAACTTACAATCATGCAAAGCAGGAGAGAGAGAGTGAAGGGGGAGGTGCTACACACATTCAACCAACCAGATCTCATGATAACTCTATCACAAGAACAGCATGGGGGTGATCCACTCCCATAAATCAATCACCTAGCAACCAGGCCCCTCCTTGAACATGAGGAGATTATAATTCAACATGAGATTTGGGTGGGGTCACAGAACAAAATCATATCACTATGACTTGAAAGATTGTTAGTAAGAGTGTCCTTAAGCATGTCTCCTTTTTCTAAATGCACTGGTCATTCTGCATCTTCATGAGGAGATACACCTTTCAATTCTTAAGATGGAGAAGATCTGTGGGGCCTGAACTAAATGGGCTTTGAATTAATTCTTCAAGAAAAGCTAGGACCTTTCTGACACAGAAACAATTTACCAGAAACTGGCAGATTGTGCAAGATAGGCCAGTCTCAGTTCTATCACACTTGAGACTCAAGAGCATCTAGTACAAATTAAATTGTATTTTATTAGATTTTTTTAATAAGTTGTATTTTTTTCCTGTGGTCAGAATGTGTCCCCACCCCTAAATTCGTACCTTGAAATCCTTATCCCCAAAGTGATAAACTTAGAAAGCATGGCATTAGGAGGTGGGGCAATGGCACCCAAGGTGATAACATTAGGAGGGGAGGGCTTTGGGAGGTCATTAGGTCATGAAGGTGGAGCCCTCATGAATGGGATCAATGCTTCTACAAAAGAGATCTGAGGTAGACTCCCATTTCTTACACCATGTGAGGTTGCAGCAAGGAGACTGCTGTTTATGAACCAGTAGAGGGTCCCTCACCATACACTGAATCTGCTGATGCCTTAACTTTGCACATTTCAGCCTCTAGAAATGTGAAAAATAAATTTATGTTGTTTATAAGGCACCCAGTTTATGGTATTTTGTTATAGCAGGACAAATGACCTAAGACATTTGTAAAACAAATGTCTTCATATTATTTCTTAAAGCGGTGGTTTGGAATTAAAAGACATAGATTTCAATCTTGTATATGCCCATCTTGGACATTTTCTTATTTTTTCTGGCCTGTTTCCTCAGCTATATAAACTGGGTATGATAGCTTTGCTGCCTCCCTTATAGTTTTTATAGGAATTAAATAAGATGATCAATATGAAAGCTCATAGGAAACTGTAATTTACTGCACAAATGAAATACAAGCTTTCATTAGTATATATAAGGTATAGCTTGACAATACAAATAATTCACATTTATTACATGATATGTGTTGATACATAATTTTACATATATTGTTGAAAACCTCTAATTAGCGTTGGGTTTTTTATAGATAAGGGATGCTCACCTTAAAGAAAAGTAGAAATTTAGACCATTCTATTCTCAATATGATCTTCAACAAGTCACTTAGCTTCCTCAAGTATCAATTTCTCCATTTTTAAAATTGGTAAGTCCCCCAGCCCAAGGATATGGTGAGTGATTGTGTGACCTCCAGAAACCACACTTCTCCCATGGATCTTTGCAGCCCTCGGGTCAGGAGATCCCCTCATGAACCCATTCCACCAGGGCCTTTGGTCTGACACACATAGCTGCATGAAGTCTTGGCAGAGCAGCTGCTCAGTCATGCAGAGACACCCAGGAGTTTTATATTCTCTGGCTCTGGGATCCCTGCCAAAGGTGACTGCAACTCAGGCAAGGCAGGAAGTCCATATATGCCACTAGGAAGAGGGCTGGATCCAGGGGGCTGAGCAGTGTCAGTCTGTGGGCCCCACTGCCATGGAGCCTCACAGAATAAGACCCACTGGCTTGGAATTTCAGCCAGCCCCTAGCAGCAGTGTTGCACCTTCCTGGGACAGGATGGAGTTCTCGGGGAGAGGGGAAGGCCACCATCTTTGCTGTTTAGATGACTCAGCCATTCCAGCCTGGGGGTTTAGGACAGCCCAAACCAACAGGGGACAGAAGGGATCCCCCAGCATGGCACAGCTGCTCTACCAAAATGTTGCCAGACTGCCTCTTTAATTGGGATCCTGATCAGTTCCTCATTTCTGGGTGGGACTTCCCAACCAGAGCTTCTAGCCATCCCTGCTTCTATCTGACAGAATTTTTGTTTCTTCCTGGGACAGAGTTCTCAGGGGAGGGGTGGGCCACCATCTTTGCTGTTTGGGTGACTCAGTTGATCCAGCCTGTGGGCTTTGGAGAGACCAAGTCAACTGGGACAGAAGTGGTACCCCAGCATGGCACAGCTGCTCTATGAAAGTGTGGCCAGGCTGCTTCCTTAAGTGGGTCCCCATTCTCTTTCTCTTCACTGGGCAGGACTTTGAACCAGAGCCTCCAGCCACTCCTGCCAATGTTCTCTGGCCAACAGAGGTCTGAAAACTTCCTGGGACAGAGTTCCTAGAGGGAGATGCAGGCCACCATCTTTGATGTTTTGGCAACTTAGCCATTCTAACCTTCAGGCTTTGGAAAGCCCAAGCTGACTGGAGGTGGAAGTGGTACCCCAGCACAGCACAGCTGCTCTACAAAAGCATGGCTAGGCTGATTCTTTAAGTGGGGCCCTGATCCTATTCCTCCTGACTGGGTGAAACTCCCAACTGGGATCTCCAGACACCTCCTATAGCTGCATTTGGGCTGGCAACAGATCCATACCTCCTGGGACAGAGCTCCCAGAGGAAAGGGAAGGCTTCCATCTTTGCTATTTCACAGACTTCAGTGGTGATACCTCCAGGTGACAGAAAATCCGAGGTGACTAGGGACTGGAGTAGATACCCAACAAACCACACAAGCCATGCTGTTAAAAGAAAAACAGACAAAACCTCATCCAAAAGTCAGCAACCTCAAAGACTGAAGGTAGATAAGCCCACAAAGATGAGAAGGAATCAGTGAAAGAACACCAAAAACTCAAAAAGCCAGAGTACCCTCTGTCCTCCAAATGACAATATCAACCCTCCAGCAAGGGTTCAGAACCAGGCTGAAGCTGAGATGACTGAAATGGCAGAAGTAGACTTCAGAATGTGGATTAAAATGATATTCTCTGAGCTAAAAGAGCACATTCTAACTCAATGCAAGGAAGCTAAAAATCATGATAAAACATTGCAGGAGCTGACAGTCAAAATAGCCAGTATAGAGAGGAATATAACCAACCTGATACAGCTGAAAAAAACAGTACAAGAATTTCATAATTTAATCACAAGTATTAATAGCAGAATAGACCAAGCAAATGAAAGAATCTCAGAACTTGAAGACTATCTTTCTGAAATAAGACAAGCAGATAAGAATAGAGAAAAAAGAATTAAAAATTAATGAAACCTCTGGGCAATATGGGATTATGTAAAAAGACCAAATCTACAACTACGTGGTGTACCCAAAAGAGATGGAAAGAATGAAACTAATTTGGGAAACATATTTCAGGATATAATGCATGAGAACTTCCCCAACCTGGCTAGATGGGACAACATTCAAATACAGGAAATGCAGAGAAACCCAATACTACATGAGAAGATCATCCCCAAGACACAATCATCAGATTATCCAAGGTCAAAATGTAAAAACAAGCAAACAGATAAAACTGTTAAGAACAGTCAGAGAGGAAGGCCGGGTCACCTACAAAGGAAAGCCCATCAGACTAACAGTAGGACTCTCAGCAGAAACCCTACAAGCCAGAAGAGATTGGCATCCAATATTCAACATTCTTTTTCTTTTTTTTTTTTTTTTAGAGATGGAGTCTCGCTGTGTCTCCAGGCTGGAATGCAGTGGTGTGATCTCATCTCACTGCAACCTCTACCTCCCAAGTTCAAGCAATTTTCCTGCCTCAGCCTCCCAAGTAGCTGGAAATATGGGTGTGGACTACCATGCCCAGCTAATTTTTGTATTTTTAATATAGGTGGAGTTTTACCATGTTGGCCAAGATCGTCTCGACCTCTTGACCTTGTGATCTGCCCACCTCAGACTCCCAACATGCTGGGATTACAGGTGTGAGCCACTGCACCTGGCCCCTCAACATTCTTAAAGAAAAGAAATTCCAGCCCAGAATTTCATATCTCACCAAACTAAGTTTCATGAATGAAGGAGAAATAAGATTCTTTTCAGACAATCAATGCTGAGGGAATTTGTAACCACCAGATCTGCTTTAGAAGAGTTCCTGAAGGAAGCACTAAATATGGAAAGGAAAAACCATTACCAGTCACTACAAAAACACACAGAAGTACACAGACCAGTGACACTGTAAAAGAACCACATAAACAAGTCTGCAAAATAACTAGCTAGCGTCAGAATAAAAGGATCAAATCCACATAACCAATAGTAACTTTAAATATAAATGGGCTAAATGTCCCAATTAAAATACACTGTATGGCAAGCTGGATGAAGACCCATGACCTATTGGTATGCTGTCTTCAAGAGACCCATCTCACATGCAGTGACACACATAGGCTTAAAATAGAGGGATGGAGGAAAATTTACAAAGTAAATGAAAAACAGATAAAATCAGAGTTGCAAACCTAGTTTCTGACAAAACAGACTTTATACCAACAAAGACAAAAAAAAGACAAAGGGCATTACGTAATGGTAAAGGGTTTGATTCAACAAGAAGAGCTAACTATCCTAAACAGATATGCACCCAAGAGTGGAACACCCAGATTCTTAAAGCAAGTTCCTAGAAACCTTCAAAGGGACTTAGACTCCCACATAATGATAGTGGGAGACTTTAACACCCCACTGACAGTACTAGAACACATCATCAAGACAGAAAATTAACAAAGATATTTAGGACCTGAATTCAGCTCTGAATCAAATGGACCTAATAGAGATCTACAAAACTCTCCACCCAAAAAACAACAGAATATATATTTTTCTTATTGTCACATGGTGTTTACTCTAAAACTGACCACATAATATGAAGTAAAAAGCACTCCTCAGCAAATGAAAAATAACTGAAATAATAACAAATGGTCTCTCAGACCACAGTGCAATCAAATTAAAACTCAAAACTAAGAAATTCACTCAAAACCATACAATTACATGGAAATTCAATAACCTGCTCCTGTATGACTTCTGGGTAAATAATAAAATCAAAGCAGAAATCAAGAAGTTCTTTTAAACTAATGAGAACAAAGATAAAATGTACCAGAATCTCTGGGACACAGCTAAGGCAGTGCTAAGAAAGAAATTATAGCACCAGGCCACCCTGTGGAACCTAGGCCACAGCAACAGGCTCACTTGCATATAGATGTTGGCACTAGGGCTGCCCATGAATCCCAGACTGCAGCACCAGGTCTTCCTATCTATGGAGCACAGCACTAGATAAAAATATTAAATCTCACTGGTGAAAGTAAATATATAAACAATCACAGAATAACATAATACTGTAATAATGATGTGTAAATCACTTTTAACCCTAGCATAAAAGTCAAAACAGAAAAACTGAGGATAACTGTAACCACAAAAAAATTGCTGCTAAATACACAATATAAAAAGAAATAAACTCTGACATCAGTAACATAAAGTGAACAGTAAAAGTCTGGAGCTTTTATGTCATTAAAGTTGTCATTATCAGCTTAAAAATTGAATGTTATACTATGAGAGTTTCAATGCAAGCCTCATACTAACTAGAGAGAAAAAACCTGTAGTAGATACACAGAAGATAAAAAGTATGAAATCATATAATTACAAAAAGTCATCACACCACAAAGAAAATTAGAAAGAGATGAAGAGAAGAACAAAAGAACTACAAAGAGACAGAAAACTATTTTTTAAATGACAATAATAAATCCTTCTGATGAATAATTATTTTAAATGTAAATAAACTTTTCACTCAAAAGATATAAAATAGCTGATAAAAAAACAAGATCCAGCTATATGCTGTCTACAAGGGACTTACTTTACATTTAAAGATACACATAAGCTGAAAGCACAGGGATGGAAATGGTAACCAAAAGAGAGCAGGGGTGGCTATAGCTATACTTATATCATATAAAATAGACTTTAAGTCATAAACTTAAAGTTAAAAATGTGTCACTAGAGACAAGATCACTATATAATAAAAGATCAATTCAACAGGGAGATATAACAATTATAAATATATTTGCACCCATCCTCAGAGAACTTAATATATAAAGGAAATATTGACAGATATGAAGGGAAAAATAGATAACCATAAAATAATAGTAGAAGACTTAAATAACCCACTTGCAGTAACGGACATATCTTCCAGGCAGAAAATCAACAAGGAATGAGCAGACTTGACAATCAAACTAACAGACATACACAGAACATTCCAGCCAACAGTAGCAGAATATATATTTTTCTAAAGTGAACATGAAACATTTTCCAGGCTAGATCACATGCTAGGTCACAAAACAAGTCTTATAAATTTAAGAAGATTCAAATAATTCCAAATATCTATCCTGACCACAATAGAATTAAGTTAAAATCAATAAAAAAGGAAAATGGAAAAATTGATGAATACATAAAAATTAAACCATGTACTCTTGAACAATCATTGAGTCAATACAAAAATCAAAGGGGAAATTATAAAATATCTCAGGCAAACAAAAATGAAATGTAACACACTGAAACTTACAGGATGCAGCTAAAGCACTACTAAGAGGAAAGTTTACAGCTATAAATACCTGTATTTAAAAATAAGAATGATTTTAAATGAACAACCTAACACTACACCTCAAGGAACTGGAAAAAAAAATGAACAAGGCTTAAAGTTAGTAGAAGGAAAAAATAACAAAGGTTAATGCAGAGGTAAATAGAAAAACTTGATTAACTTAAGTGTTAGGGTTTTTTAAAAAGACAAACAAAGTTGACAAATCCTTAGCTAGACTAACCAAAAAAAAGAGAGAGAAGACTCAAATAAATAAAATTAGAAACAAAGAGGAGACATGAAAATTGATAACACAAAAATAAAAAAGATCATAAGGGACTACTATGAACAATTACATGGCAACAAATTGGGCAACTTATAAAAAAGGAATAAATTTTTAGAAATGCACAATCTACCTACAACGATTGAAACAAGAAAAAAATAGAAAGACCAGTAAGAAATAAGGAGATTTAATCAGTAATTGAAAACCTTGCATCATAGAAAAGCCCAGGACTAGATAGCTTCGTGGGCAAAGTCTATCAAACATTTAAAGAAGAATTAATATCAATCCTTTCTAAGCTCTTCCAAAAAATCAAAGAGGGAACATTTTCACACTCTTTTTATGAGGCCAGCATTACATGATACAAAAGCCAGAAAAAAGACACCATAAGAAAAGAAAACTACAGGCTAGTATCTCTGATGAACACAGATACAGAAATAATTAGAAAATATTAACAAAAGAAATTCAACATCACATTAAAAGAACCATAGACCATGGGGATGAGGATGGGGATCTATCCCTGAAATGCATAAATAAGCCAATATGCAAAAATCAATTAATGTGATACACCACTTTAACAGATGATGGATATAAATTATGCAGTCATCTCAGTAGACGCAGAAAAAGCACTTGAAAATTTAACACTATTTTATGATAAAAATTATCTACATATTAGGTATAGAAGGAACCTATCTGAACACAATAAAGACCATATAAGACAAGCTTACAATTGATATCATACACAATGGTGAAAAACTAAATGCTTTTTCTCAAAGATCAGGAACAAGACAAGGATTCCCACTCTTGACACTAATATTCCACATAGAACTAGCAGTCCTAGCTAGAGCAATTAAGCAAAAGTAAGAAATAGACATCCAAGTTGGAAATAAAGAAGTAAAACTGCCTCTGCTTGCAGATGACTGATCTTATATATAAAGCCCTAAGTACCCCACTGAGAAACTTTTAGAATACACGAATTCAGTAAAGTTGCAGAATACAAACCAACGTACAAAAATCAGTAGCATTTCTATACACTATCAAACAATGAACTATCAAAAAAGAAGCCAAAAAGTAATCTCATTTAGAATAGCATCAAAAATATAAAATAATTAGGCATAAATTTAACCAAGGAGGTGAAAGACTTGTACTCTGAAAACTATAAAACATTGATAAAAGAAATTGCAGAAGACAAAAATAAATGGAAAGATATCAGTGTTGATGAATTGCAAGAGTTAATATTATTAAAATGCCCATACTACCCAAAGTGATGTACAAATTCAATGCAATACCTATTAAAATTTCAAAGACTTTTTTTCACAAAAATACAAATACCATCCTAAAATCATATAAAACCACAAAAATTCCAAATAGCCAAAGCAATCTTGAGTAAAAAGAACAATGTTGAAGGCATTACACTGCCTAATTTCAAATTTTACTACAAAGCTATAGGAAGCAAAACAGTTCAGTACTGGCACAGAAATAGACATATAGACCAATGGAACAGAATATAGATTACAGCATTAAGTGTATAGGTTTATGGCTCATCGATCTTTGACAGAAGTGCCAAGAACACACAATGGAGAAAGGACAGTCTCTTTAATAAATGTTCAGAAGACTGGAAATCCACATGCAGAAGAATGAAATTGAATCCTTGTCTCACAAAATATATAAAAATTAGCTCAAAATGAATTTAACACTTACACATAAGACCTGAAACTGTTCAATTACTAGAAGAAAAGCTTTTTTGTTAATTTATTTTTAATTGACAAATAATTGTGTATATTTGTAGGGTACAGTGTGACATTTCAATCCATGTGTACATTGTAGAGAGACCCAATCAAGCTAATTAACGTATCCAATGCTTCACCAAATTCTCATTCATTATTTGGTGGTGAAGATATTAGCTTTCATTTTAGCAATTTCGATGCATACAATACATTATTAGTAACTGTGGTCACCATGCAGTGCAATAGATCACTAAAACTTATTCTTTGAATCTAACTGGAATTTGTACCCTTTGATCAACATCTCCCCTTTCCCCATGCCTGCCTTTCCCCTATCCCCAAGCCTTTGGCAACAACCATTCTACTCTCTGTTTCTATGGGATTGGCTTTTGTTAGATTCCACATACAAGTGAGATCATACAGAATTTGTCTTCCTGACCTCACTTATTTGACTTAGCATAATGTCTTCAAGTTCCATCCACGTTTTCTCTTTTACAGCTATATGGTATTCCATTTTGTATACATACCATATTTTCTTTATCCACTTATCTATTGATGAAAACTTAGATTGCTTCCATATCTTGGCAAAGATATCTCTTCAACATACCAATTTCAATTCCTTTGAATATACACCCAGAAGTGGAATTGCTGGGTCATATGGCAATTCCATTTTTAGGAAGCTCCATACTATTTTCCAAAATGATTGTATTAATTTACATTCCCACCAACAGTGTATAAGGGCTAATTTTTCTCTGCATCCTCACTAGCACTGGTTATTATTCATCTTATTGATAATGGCCATTCTAACAGATGTGAGATAATATTTGATTGTGGTTTTAATTTGCATTTTCCTGATGATTTGAAAACTTGGACTTTTTTTTCATATAGCTATTGGCCATTTACATTTCTTCCTTTTAGAAATGTCTGTTCAGATCATTTGCCTATTTTTTCACTGGGTTATTTGTTTTTTCTGCTGTTGAGTTGTTTTAGTTTTTTATGTCTTTTGGATATTTGTTCCTTATCTGAGTTATGGTTTGCAAATATCTCCTCTCAATCCCTGGGCTGTCTCTTCACTTTGTTCATTGTTTCTTTCACTGTGCAGAAACTTTTTAGTCTGATGCATTCCCATTTGTTTATTTTTGCTTTTGTTGCATGTGCTTTCAAATCCTATCGAAGAAGTCATTGCCCAGACTAAAGTAGTGGAGCTTCTTCCTTGCTTTCCTCTAGTAGCTTTATGGTTTTAGGTCTTACATTTAAATCTTTAATTCGTTTCTGTTGATTTTCTCTATGGTGTGACATAGAGTTCAATTTCATCCTCTGCATGGGGTTATCCAGTTTTTCCAACACTTTTATTGAAGAGACTGTCCATTTCCCATTGTGTGTTCTTAGCACCTTTGCTGAAAATCAACTGAGCATAAATACTTAGGTTTATTAATGGGCTTTTTATTCCATTCCATTGGTTGATGTATCTATTTTTATATCAGTACCATGTTGTTTCATTATAATCGCTTTATATTTGAAAATCAACCAGTGTGATGCTTCCAACTTTGCTCTGTTTGCTCAAGATTGCTTTGACTATTCAAGATCTTTTCTGTTTCCATACAAATGTTAGGATTTTTTTGTTTCTGTGAAAATTGATACTGGGATTTTGATAGAAATTGAATCTGTAGATTACATTAGGTAATATGAACATTTTAACAATATTAATCCTTGCAATCCATTAACATTGATATCCATTTATTTGTGTATTCTTTAATTTCTTACATCAATGTTTTATAGTTTTCAGTGTACAGATCTTTCATCTCCTTGGTTAAATTTATTTGTAACTGTTTTTATGCATTGTAAATGGGATTGTTTACTTGATTTCTTTTTCAGATACTTCATTTTTAGTGTATAGAAATGCTATTGATTGTATTTGCTAGACTTTCTGTTACAGAAAAACCCATTCAACACTGTTATTGTTACAAAAAAAATGAATTTAAGAAAACTTACACGTAGCAGATAATTTGGCATTTTTCTCCACAACATATTTAAGCTTAAGGTTAGAAAATTTTATATTATATTTTTTTCTGTTTAGATCTGAAAAGGAAATTATGGAACTGTCATATTGGTAGTCATGAATAAAGTTTGACAAGAAAAAGAAAAAAAAGAAATGCTACTGATCTTCATAAGTTGATTTTGTATTCTCCAACTTTACTGAATTCATTTAATTCTAACAAGTTTTTTGGTGGAGTCTTTATTTTTATTATTTTATTCATTTATTTTTGAAGACAGAGTCTTGCTCTGACTGTCACTCAAGCTGGAGTGCAGTGGCACAACTGTAGCTCACTGCAGCCTTGATCTCCCAGGCTCAAGCGATCTTCGCACCTCAGCCTCCCAAGTAGCTGAGACCCCAGGGGCATGCCACCATGCCCAGCTAATTTAATATTTTTGTAAAGATGAGATCTCAGCTTTGTTGCCTAGGATGGTCTCAAATTCCTGGCGTCAAGCCTCCCAAAGTGCTAGCATTATAGTTGTGAACTACCATGCCCAGCCTCTGGTGGAGTCTTTAGAGTTTCCTATATATAAGATTATCCCATCTACAAACAGAGACAGTTTCACTTTTTCCTTTCTGATATGGATGCTTTTTCTTTTTTTCTCTTGTTTTATTGTTCTGGCTAGGACTTCCAGTACTATGTTGAATAAACATAGTAGTGGAGTAAAAGTAGTGAGAGTAGATATCCTTGTTTCGTCCCTGGTCTTAAAGAAAAAGCTTTCAACTTTTCACATTTAGTATGATATTAGCTGTAGGCCTCTATTGAGGTACATTCCTTTTATATCTATTTTGTCCAGTTTTTTTTAATACTAAATGGATGTTGAATTTTGTTAAATGTTTTCTGTTATTGAAATGATCATACAGATTTAGTCCTTCATTTTGTTAACATGGTGTATTACATTTATTGATTTATGTATGTTGAACCATACTTGCATCTCTGGGATAAATCCCATCTGATCGTGATAAATGATCTTTTCAATGTGCTGTTGAATTCAGTTTGCTAGTGAAAAATGATCTTTTTAATGTGCTGTTGAATTCAGTATGCTAGTATTTTGTTGGGATTTTTGCATCTATGTTTATCAGGGATATTGGCCTGCAGTTTGCTTGTCTTGTAGGGTCATTACCTGGCTTTAGTATCAGAGCACTACTGGCTATATAAAATGAGTTTGGAAGTGCTTCTTTCTCTTAAATTTTTGAAAGAGTTTGAGAAGAATCGGTATTATTTCTTTCTCTGTACAGTAGAATTCAGCACTGAAGGCATTGCGTCTTGGGTTTTTCTTTGATTGGCTACTTTCTATTACTGATTCAATCTCTTTACTCATTATTACTCTGTTCAGATTTTCTATTTCCTCCTAAGTCTTGATAGGTAGCATGTTTCTAAGAATTCATTCATTTCTACTAGGTTTTCCAATTTACTGATGTGTAGTTGTTCATAGTAGTCTCTTATGATCCTTTGTATTTCTGTGTTAACAATTCTAATGTCTCATCCTTCATATATGATTTTGGTTATTTGAGACTTATCTCTTTTTTCCTTTGTTAGCCTAGCTAAAGTTTTGTCAATTTTGTTCATCTTTTTTCAAGAAACCAACTTTTAGTTTTGTTGATCTTTTTTATTGTTTTCTAGTTTCTATTTTGTTTATTTCTGCTCTGATCTTTGTTATTTCCTTTCTTCTGCTAAGTTTGGGCTTATTTTGTTATTTCCTAGTTCCTTAAGATGTAACATCAGGTGGTTTAAGGTCTTTGTTCTTTTTTTATGTGGGTGTTTATTGCTATAAGCTTACCTCTTAGGACTGCACTGACTACATCCTGAAAGTTTTGGTATGTTGTGTTTCCATTTTTGTTTGTCTCAAATATTCTTTAATATATCTTTTAATTTGTTTTTAGACCCATTAGTTGTTTGGAAGCATGTTGTTTAATATCCACATATTTGTGAGTTTTTCAAGATTCCTCCTGTTATTGACTTTTAGTTTCATGCCATTGTAGTCAGAAAAGATACTTGATATGATTTAAATCTTCTCAAATTTGTTAAAACTTGTTTTGTAGCTTAACATATCATCCATTCTGTAGAATATTTCATGTGAACTTGGGAAGAATGTGTATTCTGTTGCTGTTGAATGGAATTTTCTGTAAATATGTTAGGTCAATTTGGTCTAAAGTTAGTTCAAGTCCAGTGTTCCCTTGTTGATATTCTATCTAGATTATCTGTCCAGTGTTGAAAGTGGGGTATTGAAGCCTCCTACTATTATTGTATTGCACTCTTTCTCTCCACTCAGAGCTATTAGTATTTGCTTTATATACTTAGGTGTGCTGATGTTGGGTGCATATATTGTTTATTGTTATGCACCCAACATCAGAACACCTAAATATATAAAGCAAATATTAATAGATTACAATTGTTAGAACTTCCTAATTAATTGGGAAAAGCTTCTTGACATTGCTCTGGATAATAATTTTTTAGATGTGACCCCAAAAACACAGGCAACCAAAGCAAAAGCTAAAACTAAACAGCTTCTGCACAGTGAAGGAAACAAGTGACTACACAACCTACGGAATAGGAGAAAATATTTGTAAACCATATATCTGTTAAGGGATTAATATTCAAAATAGATAAGAAACTCCTACAACTCAATAGCAAGAAAGAAAATAACCCAATTTAAAAATGGGCAAACCTGAATAGATATTTCTCCAAAAAAATATACAAATGGTCAGCAGGAGTTTGAGACAATGCCAACATCATTAATCATCAGAGAAATGCAAATTAAAACCCATGACAATGATTTCACACCCATTAAAATTGCTATTATATATTTTTAAGATAACAAGTGTTGGTAAATTTTATAGAGAAAAGGGACACTTGTATACTGTGGGTGGGAATGTGAATTAGTATAGCCATTATTGAAAACAATAGGGAGGTTCCTCAAAATATTAAAAATAGAACTACCATACGATCCAGCAATCCAACTTCTGGGTATTTATTCAAAAGAATTGAAATCAGAATCTCAAAAGGATACCTGCATTCATATGTTCATTGCAGCATTATTTACAATAGTCAACACATGGAAGCAACCTAAATGTCCATCAACAGATGTATAATTAAGAAAATATGGTATATTCATAAAATGGAATGCTATTGAGCCTTATAAAAAGAAATCCTACTATTTGCTACAATAGTAGCCTGTGGGACATTATGTTAAGTAAAATAAGCCAGACAAAGAAGGACAAATATTACATGATATCACTTATATGAATAATATAGGATAGTCAGACTCAGAAGCAGACAGTGGAATGGTGGTGAAAGGGAATATGAGAAGGGGGAAAAGACTAAGTACTAGTCAAAGTGTACAAAGTATCTGTTATACAAGGTGAATAACTCTTAGAGATCTACTATACAGCATAGTGCCTATAATTAAAAATAGTGCATTATATAGTTAAACTTTTATTAAAAGGATAGATCTTATGCTAAGTGTTCTTATCACAATAATAATAGTAATAAACAAAGAGGGCAAGAGAAATATTTGGAAGTGATGGATAGGTTTAGGGCATAGACTGTGGTGATGAATTCAAGGGTGTATACCTACTTTCATACTAAGTTGTATACGTACTTACTAAGTTGTATATACTAAGTTTATACATATGTAAACAAGGGTTAAATTTTATATGTCAGTTGTACCTCAATAAATGTTTTTTTAAATAAATACAGTATCAAAATTCTATACACTCTTTTCTACATTAAGGAAGTTCTCAGGTGCAATTTAGAGCCACAATGTACCTTAGCAATTTGTTTGTAAAATAAGAGCATTGCAGCTGAGAAATGTTAAACAGCTAATCAGGTACAAAAGTCAGTATTTAAACTCAGGTGTTTCAAATTGTTTAGCACTTTCATTATTAATTGTTTCCAAGCATGTACAGCCTTTAAAAGTAAAATCTACAAATTCTGGGAAATCTTTATTACAGAAGTCTTCACTTGGCAGGAGTAGAGAAGTTGTTAATATAACTAAAATTTTGCCATTAAAATTATGAAACAGTTAAGAAATGGAATAATTATAGAGCTAGACAGAAATATTTTGAGACAATCTCTGAGTGACTAAGGCATTATGTGCTATAAATATGTAACCATAAGTGTGTGAACATATTAAGAAAATTTCATTTTACAAGAAAGAGCCAGCCACGTTAACAGTCAAAAAATACATAACAAAGAAAGAAAGCTCAACTTTTTCCAACTAATGTCATGAGTTTGAGACAGTAAGAGTATAGAGACATAGAATTTCAATAATAATTTCAGTAATATTTATCTTTTGATATAATTTTATTATCTTTTGAAATGTGGCCTTATCTCATTTAATCTGATTCTTGAAAAAATATAAATGTTATGTATAGACCTGATATGCCTATATTATTTATAATTTTAAAAGTATTTTTTATTAAGACAATGTGATGTAAAATGAATGAGTTTAATTAAGGTCAATTTAAAGAAATATTACATCATCACCATAATATAATTGTTAGGTATAGATGGCAAAATATCATGTAGATGGCATTACAATGTTTGAATATGGGAAAAAATAAAAGGAGAGGATAAGCCTCTGATATTTATTCTGCCATTCTCCCGAATTTATGGTCCCTCCTATGATTCTATAGTTTTTAAATTCTTAAACTAGAGAAGTGCAACTCATCTCCAGACCGTGGGTTTAAGATGTGTACACACACACACACACACACACACACATATCACCAAGGCCAGTGTTTTCTCAACAGATGGACTCCCACTTATTAAAGCATAAATAACGAACAACTCTAAGAAATTTATTTTTAAAATGGTACTTGCATTAGGGATATATTAAAAGCAACAACCATTATTTTTACTTTGTACTTACATTATTTCCAGCCTTTATAATAGCTCTGAAAAGTAGTGGGTTTTTTTCTAATTTTACCATTAAGAAAAATGAAGCTGATAGATTTTAAGAAATTGTCTTAAAATATCATTGAAGAAATAGAAGAAAGAAAATCGAGCTCCTATAACACTGTTACTATACTTTTAGCTTCTACTTGTGGTATAGTTTCTACCTTAAATTACATGTTTATAAAAACAATTTTTAAATTACAGTTACAAAAATAAGCACATAGACCAATGGAACAGAATAGAGACCCCCAAAATACACCTACAACAAACTCATCTTCAACAAAGTTAACAAAAATAAACAACGGGGAAAGGACAACCTATTCACTAAATAGTGCTGGAAAAACTGGCTAACCACCTGCAGAGGAATGAAACAAGACCCCTACCTCTCACCATAGACAAAAATAACTCAAGATGGAGTGAAGACTTAAAGGTAAGTCTTCAAATTACAAAAATTCTAGAAGAAAATCTAAGAAATACTCTTCTAGACATTGGCCTAGGCAAAGAATTTATGAAGAAAACCCCAAAAGCAAATGCAGCAAAATCAAATGTAGACAAATGGGACTTAATTAAACTGAAGCACTTCTGCATGGCAAAAGAAATTCTCAACAGAGCAAACAGACAACCTACAGAATGAGAGCAAATATTTGCAAACTGTGCATCTGACAAAGGAGTAATATCTAGAATCTATAAGGAACTGAAACAAATTAAACAGCCAATATGGTTTGGCTCTCTGTCCCCACTCAAATCTTATCTTGAATTGTACTCCCATAATTCCTACGTGTTGTGGGAGGGACCTGATTGTAGATAATTTGAATCATGGGAGCAATTTCCCCCATACTGTTCTCGTGGTAGTCTCACAAGATCTGATGGTTTTATCAGGGGCTTCCGCTTTTGCATCTTCCTCATTTTCTCTTGCCACCATCATGTAGGAAGTGCCTTTCACCTCCTGCCATGATTCTGAGGCCTCTCCAGCCATGTGGAACTGTAAGTCCAATTAAACCTCTTTTTCTTCCCAGTCTTGGTATGTCTTAATCAGCCACGTGAAAACGGACTAATACACAAGCAAAAACCAAACAACTCCATTACAAAGTAGGCAAAGGACATGAACACTTCTCAGAAAAAGACATCCAAGTGGCCAAGAAATATATTTAAAAATGCTCAACATCACCAATCACCAGAGAGATGCAAATCACATCAGAGAGATTAAAACCACAATGAGATAGCATCTCATACCAATCAGAATGGCTGTTATCAAAAAGGCAAAAAATAACAGATGTTGGCAAGGTTGCAGAGAAAAGGAAATGCTCATACACTGTTGAGGGAAATGTGTATTAGTTCAGCCCTTGTGGAAAGCAGTTTGGAGTTTTCTCAAATAAATAAAAATAGAGCTACCATTTAATCCAGCAATCCCATTACTGGGTATATACCCAAAGGAAAACAAATTGTTCTACCAAAAAGCACATGCACTCATATATTCATCGCACCACTGTTCACAATAGCAAAGACATGGATTCAACCTAGGTGCCCATCAATGGTGGATTAGATAAAGAAAATGTGGTACATATACATCATGGAATATTATGCAGCCATTTAAAATTTTTTTTTTAAATCATGTCCTTTGCAGCAACATGGATGCAGCTAGAGGCTGTTATTCTAAGTGAACTAACACAGAAACAGAAAACCAAATATTGCATGTTTTCACTGATAAGAGGGAGCTAAATCTTGGGTTCACAAGGACATACAGATGGAAGCAATACACACTAGGGCCTCCAAAAGGAAAGAGAGGTATAAAAGGAGGGAGGCAAGGGCCGAAAAACTTCCTATTGGATACTATATTTACTATCTGGGTAATGGGATCAATAGAAGTACAAACCTCACCACCATGCATTATACCTTTGTAACAATCCTGCTCATGTACCCCCTGAATCTAAAATAAAATGGAAATTTTTCAAAAGCAATTTAAAAAATGGTAATACCTGTCGTGTTTATCTTACAGATACTAGTGACAGTCAATTAACATTATTGATGGGAATATCCTTTGAAAAGTATTAAGAACAATAAAAGTGTAAGGCATATTTTGTGTTTTTCTTTAAAAAAAATGTGGAAGCTTCACTGGGTATTGTCCAATGAAAGAACCACATTTCCTCTGTTGATGTTAGAGTCTTAGGAACTGTCTGCCTCTGAGCACAGCTCTCCTGTTCACTTAGAAAGACTTATAGGTACTGGCCAGGATTTTTTTCAATATGCTTAATGCAGTAAAAATGAATAAAGTAATAGCCCTGGCCCATGGTCATTATCAGATTGCCACCCAAACACAATGTCTTCCTTGGAAAGGAGCAAATTCACCAGTCAGGGGCCACTGTACTCATCAGGGTAGTAATACCAGCAACTGTAACAAACTCCCAATTACCAGTGGCTTAACACAACTAAGGCTATTTTCTTACTTATGTCACAGTCCAATGCATGTTGGGTGGTTCTTCTTCAGGCTGCCTCCTTTTTGTGGCTTAGACATTATTCAACAGTTAGATGAAAGAATAATGAAAGTATGAGGAAGGCATGTCAGATACTTACCATCTCAGCCGTTGCAGCATTAACTTCTCACAATCCTTAGGTATGCTAGTCACATGGCCAACTAACTGTGAGACAGGCTGGACAATGCAGAGGAACACAAAGGACAGAGATGGGCACTAATAGTCTCCATAGGACTCCATAAGCCTTAGTCCTAGTTCAGCAAACCACCTTCTGGTCCTACACACTAAACTGTAGCACAATCCACTCAGATAGAAACATTTGGTCATGTCTGTATTAAGACAAAATTGGATGAGATGCGATAGGATGCAATGGGAAGAGAGGAGACAGGATGAGTAGACTGGCTCCTTACAAGCATCTCTATACCACTAGCACCTGCACAGTGTCTGTGCAGTATACAGATGCTGGTATACCACCCTAATAAATGAGCAGTGTGCATCTGTTCCATAACAAAACAGAAGAATAATAGGTGACAGCAAATATCCAAAGAAGATGCCTCTTTCAGCAAACATAGGCTTAAGTTGTATGGTTCTCAGCAATCTTTAATTGTGATAGGGTTAATGAGGTTTAAGGATGGCAGGAGGCAGAGCAGTGATCCTCCTCTTTTCTTGGCTTGAATTTGGTTCCACAATATCTAAGCAAGCATAAATTACCTTCTTCACTCCATTCCTTGATTTTCAACTCTTTTTCTTTCCTTGCCTCTCCTGCTTTGCTCTCCAGATGGTTTTCTCCTTCAAATCCCCCTCCTTGATTTTCCTTCCATCTCCTAATACCAAGTAGCATGAGGGTTGGAGCAAATGTGGTCAAGATTTGACATGTGGTTAATGTTGGACAAATGTGAGCAAAACAAAGGGTGATCAGTCATTAAATAGAATTCTAGGTTTAAAAGGGACTCTAAAAATTGTGGAGTTCACAAACAAATAGTACAAGTAGCAATTTCCTGCCCATCAATTATGATTTAAACTCCATCGGTATTATTTATTTTAGCTATTGATATTCTGTATAAGATTCTGTGCCAAAAATATGAAAAAGAGTGATGAGGACCGGTCTTCTTATCTTATGAAAGAGAGAAATGAGCCATAGAAGAGAACGTCTTGGCCAAAGTCATACAATGAGTGATTGAGGGAAAGAGGGAGGGAGGGCTACAATTGCACTGCCCAGTATGATAGCCACCAAGCACACATTGCTCTTGAGAATTAAAAGTGTTGCTAGTCAAATTTGAGATGTGCCATGGTGTACAGTACACACTGAGTTTCAAAGACTTGGTAAAAAGAACATAAAATATTTCAATAATTTTTTGTTCCAATTACCTGCCAAAATTATAATATTTCTATATTGGGTTAAATAAAATATATTATTAAAATTAACCTAATCATTTATTTTTAATGGGGCTACCAGAAAATTTTAAAGCATATTTGTCACTCAAAATGTAATTCTATTGCACAGTGCTAAACTAGGATACAGACCTTTTGTTTCTATGAGAGTTCTTTCCCTTGCCACAATACTACTTTTATTTGCTTTGTTAGTTTGTCCGTTTGTTTGTTGGCTTGATTACTTTCTTAAGCACCAGTCATAACCCAGTCAGGACCTTATCACTTTTGTCAACCTTAAATCAAAAGAAATGTAAGTAAAAAAATCTAATCCTTCTGACTTCCTCCAAATGTGAACATGCTTTTCTATGCAGAGACAATTTTTCATATGTACCCTTTATGTCGCTCTGGTTTTGCCTCACTGAGATGTGGCCTTAGAGTATCAGCTCCATACTTGAATCTTTCACACACACCAAGGATACTGCAGGCTCAGTGTCTGCTAATTCAGTGGAACTCTTTTGCAGGTTAGGACTTCAGCAAATGCCCAGGCAGTCCAGCCGTCTGTAGGAAGACCTGGCCTCATGGTTTGGGGAATTTGTCCTATTGAAACAGAAAAACTGTTACTAGTCCAACTACTCAGTCTTCTCTCCAGTCACAATCTGCTTTTTAGATCATCTGCTTTTTATCAAGTTCTTCTTTGGTAGGAATTTAAACAGGAAGGAGTTCATAGGGCTCAGGACCAGTGCTTTTTATTCCATTGTGGACTTGGAGAGAAATCTAAAAGAAAAATTTCCTCTAGATGGAAGAGTAAGAGAAGAGTCAGAGAGAATACAATCTTCTGCTATTGTTGTATTGCCTTCTATTCCTTTTTATTTTTTCTTTTGGTTTATTGATCTCTTTTATTCTGGTCTTATCCTCTCATCCTATTTTTCTCTGAATGCTTGTCACTGAAGGCTTGGTGGTAGAATAGAACAGCCTTTCAATCAGGCAGAATCTGATGGCCTACTATATGCCAAAGATCTGACACTGTGCAGTGTGCTGCAGGAGGAAGAAATGAACCACATGGGGCCAGCCCTGCAACGTAATGCCCTGTGACATTTTCCAAAGTGTTCTGTCTATTCCTGCATTCAGAGAAAGTGAAAAGCCCATCTTAAAGAGATTATTTCTTTTTTTAATCACACAAATAACCATAGAGATGAATATAACACACACGAATGTACTTCTGCTTCCTCAAAGTCTTAACTTTTTATTTTTATTTTTTTCTTTTTTTTATTATATTTTATGTTCTAGGGTACATGTGCACAACATGCAGGTTTATTACCTATGTATACATGTGCCATATTGGTGTGCTGCACTCATTAACTCGTCATTTACATTAGGTATATCTCCTAATGCTATCCCTCCCCCCTCCCCCCTCCCCCCACCCCACGACAGGCCCCTGTGTGTGATGTTCCCCTTCCTGTGTCCAAGTGTTCTCATTGTTCAATTCTCACCTATGAGTGAGAACATGTGGTGTTTGGTTTTCTGTCCTTGCAATAGTTTGCTGAGAATGACGGTTTCCAGCTTCATCCATGTTCCTACAAAGGACATGAGTTCATCAATTTTTATGGCTGCATAGTATTCCATGGTGTATATGTGACACATTTTCTTAATCCAGTCTATCACTGATGGACATTTGGGTTGGTTCCAAGTCCCCTGTGACATTTTCAAAGTGTTCTGTTCATTCCTGCATTCAGAGAAAGTGAAAAGGCCATCTTAAAAAGATTACTTCTTTTTTTTTCAATCACACAAGTAACTATAGAGATGAATATAACACACACAGATGTACTTCTTCTTCCCCAAAGTCTTAACTTTTTATATTTGCTTCAAATCTTTTTTTTTTTTTTTTTTTTTTGAGATGGAGTCTCACTCTGTCTCCCAGGCTGGAGTGCAGTGGCACAATCTCGGCTCACTGCAAGCTCCACCTCCCAGGTTCACACCATTCTCCTACCTCAGTTTCCCGAGTAGCTAGGACTACAGGCGCCCGCCACCATACCCGGCTAATTTTTTTTTGTATTTTTAGTAGAGACAGGGTTTCACCGTGTTAGCCAGGATGGTCTCTATCTCCTGACCTGGTGATCCACCCACCTCGGGCTCCCAAAGTGCTGGGATTACAGGCGTGAGCCACCGCGCCCGGCCTATTTGCTTCAAATCTTTGTAATGCTCTTAAGGAGACTACTTCTGTACACAGTGTCCTTGCAGCTCAAGCCCAGTCAGAGATACCTGACAAGTGGTCAGTCTTTTTATTTTTATTAATTTCTATCTCATTGATCCTTGTTGTAAAACCTTATTGGAGTTTGCCTGTGGCCAGGTCATGGATTAGAGGTTTCATTGCCACCAAGGAATAGCAAAGTCATTAGCAAACTCTGCCCGTGTGAGTTCCTGCATTGTCGGTATCTTTCAAATGTCTCCATCATCTACCACTGAATGTCTCTATTATTTTTGCAATAACTTCCAATGGGGGTGTTTTTCTCAGGACATATGTTCTGAAGCTTATGAAGGAAATCATGATGTATTACCTGAATAGGTATTTTTTTTCTCTTTGAAGATTTGTTCAGTGGAAACACAAAGGTCATTCACTTAGCAACCACTCCTACCGTTGACCCACGACATGAGAAGCAGAGGTGATTCTAGAGAAAGATAATCAGTCCAAGCTCAGCTTTTACTGGCAACCAGGAAGATTCCAGATTCTAAGGACAAACATAAATCCTGCCCCAGAAACAGATCCCTCCCAAACTGTCATCAGAGCCAAACTATAAAAACCACAACTGTCACCTGGGCCCCCACTCTCAACACCCAGCTTCTGCTTGCTATCTTGGGTGATAATCAGCCACATCTTTGTCCAGATTCTGAGGGCCCCAGCCCATTCCCCTGGACAGTCTGTCACATTCTCTCCAAAGCGCATTTGTTCAGAGGCATTAATGTCGCACTTTAATTCAAATCACTTTACCCCTTTATTATTCTGAATAAAAACAAGAAAGGAAGTAGGAGGAGGTGGAGGGAGAGAGGACAGGTTTGTAGCAGGAAACAGAGATCAACCCTATGCTTATGTTTGGGGGTGACTGGATCAAGGAAAAGGTAGAAAGGAAGAGGGAAGAGTTGGTAATTAACCCCAGTAAGTTGCTTTCCTGAATTACCAGGAAAGGTCAGGAGTAAGACTTGATTTTACAAAAGATATAAAGCAAAGAATCTAAATCCATCTTTTAGAACACATTTTGAATTCAATGCTCTTGTCCCCTCTATTAGTTTTCTATTACTGTGTAACAACTTACTCCAAAAATAGAGGCTTAAAATGACTAACATTTATCATTTTATAGTTTCTCTGAATCAGAAATCCAGACACAGCTTAGATGGGTATGTGTGGCTCAGATTGTCTCATGAAACTGCAGTCACGCTATGGGCCGGGGCTACAGTCTTATCTGAACACTTGACTGAGGGAGGTCTATTTCCAAACGCATTCATGCGGTCATTGGCAGGATACAATTCCTCATACCAAGGATTCTGCTAGGACCACTGTCTGCTAACTCAGTGAAAACACTGGGCAATTTAGAACTCAGCAAATGCTGAGGCTGTCCAACAACCCTCAGAGAGATCTGGCCTCATTGTTTTGGGAGTCTGTTGTTATTAAAACAGAAAAACTATTACTAGTCCAACTACTGAGTCTTCTTTCTAGTCCCGACCTAATTTCTACATGATCTTTATAGTGAGGGTTCCACAAGGCTGTCTGGTAACATTGCAGATGGCTTTCCCAAGGGTGGGCAATCCAAAAGAGAGCAACAGAATATTCCCAAAATAAAAGTCACATTATTTTTATAACCTAATCTTAGAAGGTTATTTTTAAAAGTATGTAACGTAGAAGTTATATCTGAACACTTCTGCCATATTCTGTTCAGCAAAAGTGGATCAATTAGTCCAAGCCACATTTAAGGATGGAGGATTATTCAAAAGTATGAATACTTGGGATCATTAAGATGGTCTTAGAGGCCATCTATTACATTATTTATCATTGATTCACTTTAATTAAAGGGTTTGTTTTGTGTGAATTTATAGAATTTGTTTCTTAAAGTTTTATGGATCAATTAGAGGTAACATATAGAAAGTATTACAATATGATGGATGATTTAGCCAAAAAAAATCTGACTGAAAGCAATTTTGTGGAAATAGAGTGGTCCAACAACAATTTGGTCAAAATATATCCTAGTCACTGGAGAAATGGATATATAAAAGTAAAATAAAAGTAGAAACTTCCCAAATCCTAAAAGGCAGAAAAAAATTCCTGAAGATTCATAGGGGTTACAAAACAACTTTCCGTGATGTACCAAAATTAAAAATGTCATGAAACTAGAGACAGGCTATTCATACTCCAACACATGATTATATTGGTCAGCTTGCTTCATATGAAATTGTATTTGGTTAAATTGCCTTCAGTTGAATCACCCTATCTTGTTAGAAAAAAATTACAATTCACTTTGGAGCAAATTTGTTGCCAGCATTTTATGTAAAGATTTCCAGAGTCGGCGATTAGTGCTGGAAAGCTGAGAGATGGTGCCAAGTAACAAATTACTCCAAACTAGTCGTTTAAAATAACAATAATAATTTATCATGTCTCATGCTTTTTGTGGGTCAAGAATTTGAGGATAAGTTAGCTGGATATTCTCACTTGGGATTTCTTATGAAAGAAGAATGCAGTCAGATGTCAGCTGTAGCTGCAATCAAGTAAAGATTGATAAGGGCTGGGCCACTTCCTAAGTGGCACAATTGCATGGTTGTCCAGTTGGTTTTGGGTATTGGTGGAAACCTCTGCCTTAGCACCTCCATGGAGCTCCTTGAGTATGTGTTACGGCATGGCAGCTAGCATCCCCCTGAGTAGAGGATCTAAGACATAAAGATGGAAGCTACAATGCCTTTAATGACTCAGCCTCAAGAGTCACATACTGTGATTCCCACCATATTTTATTGGTCACACAGATTCAAAGTGGAGGAACACTACACAACAGTGTGAATTCTAGGAGATATGAATCATTGGGGGTCATCTTGGAGGCTAGCTATCATACAAACAAAGAAGATGGGCCATATCCAGCCAGTTTTTTACAAATCCTTCTCTCAAAGGCCCTTTGTCTCATTACAGAGATAAATACTGGCCTCTCCTTGGCTTCTATAGAGCCTAAGTCAAAGTGAATTGAGACTTTCAGTCTGCATCCAAGATGGGCAATTGAAGTACAGTTTATGGGAGGAGCCAGCCTTTAACCTAAGGGTGGCCTGGTGGAATAATAGGGACATAAGGGAAGGCTCTTACCCAGTAAAATATTAGTCCTGCTCCTGGGGCAATAAAGCTTAAATTCCTCTAGAAACAGGAAAAAAAATGCTATTACATATTTATAGGAAAATCTTAAAGTGGAAACATCCCAAAGAAATGTAACATACTGATCTAAATTTACATCAAGATATGAATAATTTGTGACAGATATTGTTCTGAGAAGAAGCTTTCAGAGACGTTGGGCAACAAAAAGAAAGTGAAAAGAACCTTACAAAAAATATGGGAGAGGCTTCCAAAGAAGTGAAAGTTAAATCACTGACATTATCATTTTTCCCGGACCCACACTTGTTCTGTAACAGTTCAAAGACAGAATTATAGAAAATAAGATATAGTAGCGTAGCCAGGCCAGGCGTGGTGGCTCCCATCTCTAATCTCACCACTTTGGGAAGCTGAGACAAGAGGATTGCTTGAACCCAGGAGTTTGAAGCCAGCCTGGGCAACATGTTGACATATCATCACTATGAAAAATTTTTAAGAATTAGCTGGGCATGGTGGTGCATGCCTGTGGTCCCAGCTACTTGGGAGGCCAAGGCAGAAGGATCACTTGAGGCTGAGAGATTGAGGCTGCAGTGAGCCATGATCATGCCACTACACCCCAGCCTGGGTAACAGAATGAGACCCTCTCTTTAAAAAACAGTAAATAAATAAAACGAAAGTTATAGTAGTCAAAGACTAGAAATGGATGCTAAAATAGAGTGCAGTTAGAAACCAGTAATTTAAAGAAATGTAATTTTAGACAAGTGATTAAAGTCTATAGTTAGTCAACTAAGACTTATTTTTGCCTATTGATGAATGGTCTCTCCTCACATGCCACTCTGCTGTTATACCTTTAACAGCTCTTACCTAAGGCAGTATCAATAGGAGAAGCACAAAGAAAGAGGAGACGGCATGGAGACCTGTGGAGGTACAGTCATAAACTACACTTGAACCAGAAATGAATTACTGCAACAGAACTTCTGCTGATCATTTACACTATCTGGAATTGTTACAAACGGGCAGAAAAAAAGTATACCAATCTTGGCCTGTATTCCCACAAATGACTAAGAGCTGGCTGTGTAAAAAGTTTTAGGTCAAATCTCGTGACAACGAGCTTCCAGAAGCATAAAGGGATGTCCCATTGCTTCCAGGATTTTGCAATTTGGTTGTACCAAATATTGCTCAATATCACTCTCAAATACCTGAAAACCATTCCGAGGAAATAATCCTTACTCAAATTGATTATGACCCAAGATACATAGATCACAGGCTATAATTTCCAAAAATGTGGATATTTTAATACCTAATTCCTTTGCCATTTTCCTTCCAGAACCAACTCTGCTAACACATTCCCTCTTTCTGCTAGAAAAGAAAAACTGCCACCATCTTTAATTCCCTCGGTCAGTCATGGCCACAAGATACCATTTTTTCATTACCAATGAGTGCTTCTAGGGACCATTATGCTCACATACTATACCATGCAATCAAATGTTTCATATTTTGAATTTAGAGGAAAGTTCATTGGTGCAATTAGAAATTCTACACACACACACGTTAGAAAAAGTTCCTAATCAGAGTACCAGCATAAGTAAAAGTGTTCTTTTTAGTGGAGCCCTTCACAAATGAGACAAAACTTGTGATGTATTTGTCTCTAGCAAGACACTACAGAATGCAGAACTTGATGCAGGTTTAAAATAGTGACCTTCGCCCTCTCCTTCGATTAGACTTTAATGAGCTGTGTCTGTCATGTTCACTGTTGTATCTTGGTAAGCAATAAGGTGCCTATCATATAGTAGAAGCTCAATATTTGTGGAATGAATAAATGTGGATAAATAATAAATGAGTCAATGAACTGTATTATGATTCTCCCCGCCACCCATCTGTGACCTGAATTCAATCCTATAAGTTTTTCCAAACCCTAAATCCAGCACTATATTCCAGATTCCTCTGGATTCCCAGCACTCTGTCTCATCTTCTTACCAGCTGGCCCCGATTTTCAGACACCCATTTACCCCCTCCTCCCTTCTCAAACTCCCTCTAGTCCCTACTGATCCCCACAGTTAAGTCCGGCGTTCTTCTATCTCCAAGTACAGAACAAAATTAAAACGTGTGCAAGAGAAACGAGAGCTCAGGAAAAAACACCTACTAGCCTTTACTATGCCCCCATTCAAACCCTGATTTTAATCATTTGTGCATTTATGTATTAGTCCATTCTTTCTTTCAACAAATAATAGAGTGACTTCTGAATTCTGTTATTCATACTGATACATAGATACATCCAATATGGAACCTCCAGTAGTTGCAGTTCAATAATCAAGATCTGGGCTGGGCATGGCGGCTCATGTCTGTAATCCCAGCACTTTGGGAGGCCGAGGCGGGTGGAATACCCGAGGTCAGGAGTTCAAGATCAGCCTGACCAACATGGTGAAACCCCATCTCTACTAAAAATACAAAAATTAGACGGGTGTGGTGGTGGGCGCCTGTAATCCCAGCTACTTGGGAGGCTGAGTCAGGAGAATTGCTTGAACTCAGGAGACAGAGGTTGCAGTGAGCCAAGATTGCACCATTGCACTCCAGCCTGAACAACAAGAGTGAGACTCCGTCTCAAAAATAATAATAATAATAATCAAGATCTGGCAAAGAAAGAACGTATTCCTAGTGCTGAAGTCCCAAGTTACTCCTAGTGCTGAATCCCATTTCAGTGATGAGTATAGGGAAACAAATATTACTGAGTCTCTACTATGTGCCAGGCACTATACTGCATGCTTTTCATATGTCATAAAGAATCATTACCATGGAACTTGAATGATGTCCTTGGATACTGTTTTAGTACATTGAGCCTGTGTGTCTAAGAGAGGTCTCCAGCTCCCTACACTTCAAGTCCTCTGGCTCTTGTAAAACAACTGAGTCACAAGTAACAGATGCAACTGTAACACAGTTACAGATCAAGACACAGATCTTGCTTGTGTTTACAGAATTGTGATCCCACTAGAGGAAACACTGGTTCCTTTGCCTGTGTTTACAAAATTGTAAGCCTGCCGAAAGAACCTTTTGTTCGATGTTAGATTAGAATTGCATTACTCTCTGGCTTTATGAGAAACCTAATTTCAAGTTAGTCACAAAGAGGATGACTGAGTATCTGAGACAGAACATTAATAAAATCAATAATACACTCATTGGAATATGTTCATGGCTTTATTAAATTTTGATCAGGATGGGTATAGTGTCTCATACCTATAATCCCAGAACTTTAGGAGGCTGAGACAGACAGGTTGCTTGTCAGTAGGTCAGGAGTTCGAAGTCAGCCTGGCCAACAGGGTGAAACCTGTTTTTACTAAAAATACAAAAATTAGCAGGATGAGGTGACACATGCCTATAATCGCAGCTACTCGGGAGGCTAAGGTGGGAAGATCACCTGAGCCTGGGGAGGTCGAGGCTACAGTGAGCCATGATCGCCCACTGCAATCTAGCCTGGGCAACAGAGTGAGACCCTGTCTCAAATATATATATATATAAAAATATATATTTAATAAATAAATAAGTTTTGATCAAATAATACATCCATATTTCTTTTTCTTTTCTCATTTGAAACTGTGTCTTCTTTCCCGCCCCCTGCCCTTGTTCTCTGTTCCCACTTCCCATCTCTGAATATAAATAGTTGTTTTCACATTCTTTGGATTTGGGCACAATGAGCATAGCTCACCATCCAAAATGCTTCTAGTTTTGAAGCCTCCTTCTGAGCATCAAAAAAGTTGAGATGATTTGCCAGGTGTGCGAGTTCTTGCTGTGTGCCAAAGTAATGCGCCAAATCACTCAGGAAGAGACATAAGATTTTCCAGTGTCCAGATGAGCCAATGAAATATGCTTTCAAATGCTTGAAATATAAATTGACTACCTTTTGTGAAAAGATTCTCTGTTATAACTGAAACCTGGCAAGAGTAGGAGCAACCTGAGGGGACTTTCTCCTCTCTGACTTGAAAGCCCTGGGGAAGTGGGGTTTCACTTTTAAGCAGGTCTGGTTGCCAATGAATTCAGTATGATTGGACCTCACATTTTAGATGCCAGGAAATTTTCATTAAAAATAAAACTCTTGAAACTTGACCTTTTATGGTCATAAAATTCCACACCATTTAGCACATTAACTAGCACCTGAAATGATGAGGGAACGTCTTGATTTAGTTTAGCATAGAAAGCATCTGATAAAATGAGATCCGTAGGGGCATCTCTGAGGTTTTATAATTACCATGAGCTGTCATCAGTACATTATATCTGTTGTCTTCCTGATTCATTAGGATCATTATAGCTAAATCCACTGTAAGTAAAATGGTGGAAATGTCCATAGGCCATCCACCATGTATTCCACAGATGAACAGAACCAACAGGGCAGATAAAGGCTGAATAAAGTGACAAAAAACACTTAGCTTTAACTTGGACCCCCTTCTAAACTGGTGCTATTTCACAAAACCTTTGATTCCTCACCACTTTCCTTTCCAAAAGTACAAAGTCAAAAAGGAAATGAGGGTAAAAGAGTGATGCGTCAGAGGTTTCATAATTATGTAAAAGTTCACTACCCTCCCTTCCAAAAGCACAAAAAGCCAAAAAGGAAACGAGGATAAGAGAGTGATGTGTCAGAAGGTTTTATAAATATATGAATGTTTATTTACACTAAATAAAATTATAATTTCCCCAAAGTTTCAGAGTTTCAGAATATTCCTGTCTTGTTTTTGTCTCAACCAAGCCGTGTTCTACAAATATTTACACAATCATAAGGCAGATCTATTTCAGGAAATTGAAGAACTGAGAACATTCTCCAGATAATTTACTGTAAATTATTATCATCAATAATATGTTCTAGCTCCTAAACCTCTCTTCTTCTGAAGAAAATATTATATTTGGATGATGATGATGAGCCTCATAACCCCAGTCACATTCTGTTTCTTTGTGCCTGGGTAGGTCATGAATACTGAGGACTTCCTCCTTTCCTTATATTTTTTATATGCAGATAAAACCTTACAAGGAAATTCACACAAAAAAATAATAACAATTAACTATAGATAATGGGATAAAGAGTCATATGTTTTTAATATTTTCAAAAATTTTAACTAGAATAATGTATTACTTTTCAAATAAGGAGGGAAAAGACCATAAAGTTTGTTTGAAGAAAGGTTCTAGGGCCCAGTTCTCATTTAATTAGGGTTTTTCCATATATATGGAAGATACTCAATTACCTGGAGTTCATCTACATCACTTTATCTTCATACATGATGAAGGACTCCCAAGTCTTTGTATTCACAACCCTGCACTCTTTCTGCCACCTTTCACCAATTAGCCTTTTTCTGCATCCTGACAAAATGGAATTTGCCTCTAAATTGTTTCTCAACCCACATACTTCCTCAGTGAGAATCAATGTAAGAAGCTACCATCCCTTACCAATGTATGAAACAAGGCCCTGAATATAAGACCTTAACCATCTGCATTTATTCAACTCCTACTGATTGAGTAATTGAGAAGGCTTGGCAGATTCTAATCTGGTCACACTAGATTCTAGTTCTGCCTCTTGAAACCATAGAAGGAATAGAATACATAATTCTTCATTCCCTGTCTTCAAGTTCTGGGAAGCCTCTCAGGGTTAAACAGCTGCCGCATTCCACCTCTAATATAGACACGTAGTGGAAGGTAAAATGATCCCAATAGTGAGTTTGTGCTTGAGCACAGAGAAAATTTTAAAGTGCTTTGAGATCTTTCAGGGTAGAAATATACATAGTTCCTAATTTAAAAACATGGGTTTCGTTGAATTTGAAGCTTAAACATTCTTCTAAATGGCCACACCTGTCAGCTAAATGAAATGGAGAGGGAAAAAGACAGAAACAGATTCAACAAAGCATTAGATACCAAAAAGACATGTTCAGTTGATTAAAGCTTTTTTTAGTCAGCTTGCTTTGATGTTGCCTAGACATATCTATTCTAGAAGAAAGGGGAAATTCACCTTCTCTGAGGTCTGCTAACATCCTTTAGGACTTGACAAGGTAATGGGGATGAGACAGCAGTGTCTCACCCAAAGGGACAATTGATAAATAATCTTCAAAGGGAGAATGCTTGGAAGCAAAATTGTCTTACGTTTGTAAGATGTCCATGTTGGATATCACGAAATAAATAAGAATACGTGAGATAGCTTCTCCATAATGCTTCCCATTGTTTGATGCACCCAATATGGTTTTTTAAATATCTAGGAATACTTACATATCTTAGGAATTACAATGAGACATTATTCAGTAAGCCTATGAAAAGCAAAATTAATTTTTAAGTTTAGATGCCATAAAAGGGCACTTTGGTCTGCCTCAATAATTCTGATCATTAGCCAGATAAGACCTGCTGGCTACACTGTACTGCTGAAAAAAAAAATTACAAGAAAATGTAGAGTCTTCTCTCTAGTGTAACTCAGATAAAATGCTTAGGTTTTTATTAATCATTAGAAATAAATCTCTATTTGGAGATTCAGAATAGTAGCATCAAAAGTTATATTATAAAAACGCATAAATGCTACCTAAGACCAACTTTTAGGTTACCTGGAGGCCTCTCAAAACAATACTACAGGAGTCGTGGGTCTAAAGGAGAGCATACATAATAAAAAACATAGTAAAAAAGGATCTGCTCTGGACCTCACCTTGTTTATAACCTTATGTGGATCACTTCACTTAAATCAAATTATCTCTGCATGAACATCGAGGTGTAAATGTTTATACTAAGTATGAGTATTCTTCCTACAACAGGTGATTTGGCCAAAAATGCCCTCTGGTCCCAAGTTATATATTTTGATTGTGTGGACATCCATTCTCACATTTTAAGGGAATAACACAACTCAACACCCAGAAAGGTATAAAGATAACTGCTTTATGATTGTTTGAGGTTGGAGTATATATCAACATCTTATTTTTTTAAGTTTACCTCAAGATTAAACTCTGCCTTTTTAAAAACTTTGCCTTTTTAAAAACAAATCTTTTCCTTATGGTTCCAGCTTCAAGTGTTTATTAGATCACACAGACATCTGTCAATAGAAAGAATTACTCTTTTCCCATAAAGGAAGATAAGGAAAGACCTCTCTGGAAATTGTGAAATTTCTAGAGGATGAGGCACCTACTTCTGCAAAGATTATCTGAGATTTAGAAATTTGTGCAAAAAATTACAGATTCAATGCTATTCCTATCAAACTACCAACATCATTCTTTACAGAATTAGAAAAAAAATTCTAAAATTCATATGGGACCAAAAGGGAGCCTGAATAGCCAAAGAAGTCCTAAGCACCACACTACCTGAATTCAAACTATACTATAGAGCCACAATAACCAAAACAGCTTGGTACTGGTACAAAAACAGACAAATAGACCAATGGAACAGAATAGAAAAATCAGAAGTAAAGCCACATACCTACAACCATCTGATCATCCATAAGGCTGACAAAAACAAGCAATGGGGAAAGGACTCCTTATCAATAAATGGTGCTCGGAAAACTATTAATAGCTCGGCATATCCAGAAGATTGAAACCAGACTCCTACCTCTTACCATATATAAAAACTAACTCAAACTAAATTAAATATTTAAATGTAAGATCTCAAACTATAAAAATACTGGAAGGCAACCTAGGAAATACTCTTCTCAACATCAGCCTTGGTGAAGAATTTTTGCCTAAGTCCCCAAAAGCAATTGCAACAAAAACAAAAATAGACAAGTGGGGCCTAATTAAACTAAAGAGCTTCTGCACAGCAAAAGAAACTATGAACAGAGCAAACAGACAGAACAGGAGAAGATATTTGCAAATTATGCATCCAACAAAGGCCTAATACCCAGAATGTATAGACAACTTAAACAAATCAATGAGCAAAAAACAAATAACCCAATGAAAATATGGGCAAAAGAGTCCAGGTGCAATGGCTCACACCTGTAATCCCAGCACTTTGGGAGGCTGAGGCGGATGGATCACGAGGTCAGGAGATGGAGACCATCCTGGCTAACACAGTGAAACCCTGTCTCTACTAAAAAATACAAAAAAATACAAAAAAAATCAGCCGGACATGGTGGTGGGGGCCTGTAGTCCCAGCTACTCGGGAGGCTGAGGCAGGAGAATGATGTGAACCTGAGAGGCAGAGCTTGCAGTGAGCCAAGATCGCGCCACTGCACTCCAGCCTGGGCGACAGAGTGAGACTCCATCTCAAAAACAACAACAACAAAAAAAAAAGGCAAAAGACATGAACAGACACTTCTCAAAAGAAAGCGTACATGTGGCCAACAAACATATGAAAAAAATGCTCAGCATCATTAATCATGAGGGAAATGCAAATCAAAATCACAATAAGATACCATCTCCCACCAGTCAAAATGGCATTATTAAGAAGTCAAAAAATAACAGACTTTGGCAAACCTGCAGAAAAAAGGAAGTACTTATACATTGTTGATGGGAATGTAACTTAGTCCAGCCACCGTGGAAAGCAATCTGAAGAAGATTTCTCAAAGAACTTGAAACAGAGCTACCATTCAACCCAACAATCCCATTACTAGGTATATACCCAAAAGAAAATAAATCATTCTACCAAAAAGACACATGCACTCATATGTTCACTGCTGCACTATTCGCAATAGCAAAGACATGTATTCAACCCAGGTGCCTATCAATGGTAGATTGAATAAAGAAAATATGGTACATGTACACCATGGAATACTATGCAGCCATAAAACAATGAAATCACGTCCTTTGCAGCAACATGGATGGAGCTGGAGGCCATAATCCTAAACAACACAGGAACAAAAGCCAAGCATCACATGTTCTCAGTTATAAGTCAGAGCTAAACATTGAGCACACATGAACAGAAATATGAGAACAATAGACACCGTGGACTACTGCGTGGGAGATTAAAAAAAAACTACCTACGAGGTACTATGCGCACCACCTGGGTGATGGGATCTGCACTCCAAACTTCAGCATCATGCGATATTTCCATGTGACAAATCTGCAGTTGTAATTTGAAAGTTGGTATTTTAAAAGAGGCATACTGTACTTCTTAGAGCAACCAATAAAAATTAGTAAAAAATATTTTTTAAAAAGAAATTTATACAGAGAATTTGCCTCAATTTTTTTTCAATTGAAAGCCATGTCTTCCTGGTAAAAAGAGAGATGCTAGCAGCAAGAGCAACTAGGGTTAATTCTGACTCCAGAGGGATTTCTGGTCTACACTGATAGGTTGGCCATTAGCATTGCTCAGATTCTTATATAAATTGTATAGACTCCCACAGGATGGACATAAACCACATTTAGGTAGAAACTAAATCATTGACAGAGAGTTTCAACAAAACACTAACTGGATAACCTTTTCTTTCTGATGCTATAGCCAGGAGGACATGTGAAAGGATTGAATCACAAGGGAAAAAGTTTCTAACTATGAGCACAGAATGTTCTTCATAACATTTGGCTGTGCAAATATGTATAAAATCCTCCCACTTCTTTAGAAAATAACATTTGAATTAACAAAACAGCTCTTCATTGAAAGAGAAACCTTTCAGCATTTCTGAATATGTGTAAGTTTGTACAACAGCTAGTTGGAAAATACATAACTGGAAATGTGCGAATGTAATTCATGGAATCCATGATGTTTTGATAGAGACTATTTTAAAACTGATATTTGTACAATCTGGAAGAAAATGAGGATTTTTAAATGGTCTCAATTAGTAAATCAGCTGTATAGAAAAATTAGGTTTGCATAGGGCAGCGATCAGCATAAACGAGAACGAAGCATGAAAGCAGATCACTAGATTATGCAAAACCAGCACCTGAAACTGGAGGATCTATTGGACATTCCACACTCTCCACTTCTGGTTAAAGAAATCAAAGACAGTGATGTGAGGATGAATCGAATAACTAATATCAAAACCACACTGCAATGATAACTGAATTATTCATAATTAATCATTCTAAACCATTTCCCAGTGATACCAAATTTCTTCCTAATTATTAAATTCAAATGAAGTCATGTTGGACTCATTACTGACCTCCCTCCATAATATCCAGACAATCATAGGTCTTTCCAGATATCCCTTTACTGCCACTTGCATTATATTTCCTCTCCTTCCTCTATATCAGTTTTTCATCAGTCAGTATCTGAATTACCCAACACTCTTTCCTATCTTGAATACCACTGAAAACAAATCTTCCTTAAACGCTGTAATTGCACTGCTTGAAAACATACAGGAGCTCTCTGGTAAATACTGTCTCAAGCCCAGCCTTCCCTGCTAGCCTTTCTGGATTCCTTACAACCAGTCTTACCAAATTCATCCAATAGTACTTCCCAATAGCTGCCAACATACTTCCTCCAGTGGTAAAAAGTCACTTCTGGGCAACATGCCCTATTCCTTCTCAGACACAGAGGCTTCATTTTTTACTTCTGCCTCAATTGTCTCCCTTAACTCAGTTTCTTAACTATTTTGCAAATTTTGTGAATTTCATTCAATTCACTCCAATATACATAGATTAATGTTGGTAAGGAAAATATTCCAGATAAAAGGGCAACGGTTTTCAGAGGTAGGGAAGAGAACTGTAGAGTGACCTCGCATGACAGTGGCAGAGTAAAACGCTATAAAAACAAGCGGCAGGGGGAGGGTGCAAATCATAGTGATTACTGAAGCTGAGAAATGTATGCCAAACTGTTCTAATCTTTCTATCATTGAATTCTGTGCTTTGAATTTTAGTTATGTTTACATGTTCATATATTTTTACATAAGCACATGAATGTGATTGTTAACTAACACACTGAATTTTTTTTGTCATTTGTATTTTATTTATTTATTTAATTTTTTTTCTGATATACACCAGCAACCATTTTATTAAAAAAAAATTCAAGAGTTAGAAAATTTATATACACTTTTTTGCTTAAACTCATTTCCAGTTATCTCCCCATAGGATTTTGCCCTAATGTAATCATTTTTATTTCTAAAAGTTTTTAACTGATCCTCTGTCATACTTCTCTTCAATAAAAATGTACCTTAAAATTGAACTTTTAAATTGTGTTTAATTTTCTAAAACTGTAATGTTCAAACTAAGAAATATATGGAAATGTATTTCTTCTTTTTTTTTTTACCGCATGCATATTTATTTATTTGATTGCCAAATCCTACGGCATGCATAGGAAATACCATTTTCTTTTTTTTTCAATAACAGGGTTATCATTTATTATTTTGATTAACTCCTCATTTAGCATTAGGTATATCTCCTAATGCTATCCCTCCCCCCTCCCCCCACCCACAACAGTCCCCGGTGTGTGATGCTCCCCTTCCTGTGTCCATGTGTTCTCATTGTTCAATTCCCACCTATGAGTGAGAACATGCGGTGTTTGGTTTTTTGTCCTTGCGATAGTTTGCCGAGAATGATGGTTTCCAGCTTCATCCATGTCCCTACAAAGGACATGAACTCGTCATTTTTTATGGCTGCATAGTATTCCATGGTGTATATGTGCCACATTTTCTTAATCCAGTCTATCGCTGTTAGACATTTAGGTTGGTTCCAAGTCTTTGCTATTGTGAATAGTGCCGCTATAAACATACGACACACTGAATATTTGTAAGTCTCCCCCCAAACACTTTTTTTTGGTTGGCTTCTTGTCACTCTTCTTTCCCCATTTCTGTCCAAAATATCTTCACACCCACCAAAGAGGCCCACGTTTATAACCAATTTGTATTCATTTGCTTTTTTACTAGCATCATATAATTTTATGAGGCATATATACGCATACACACATATAAGAAAATCTTTTGAACATTGTTTTAACAAAAATGGAATAATACCATCTACATTTTTTTCCTACATCTTGTTTTTTATCACACAATTCTTTATTTTAAAAAAAAGCCTCCAAGTAAACTGGCGTATCTTTAATTTTTTCCTTTTTATTACACAATTTACCCATTTGTGAATACATGACTCATTTAATCACACCTATAAGGGTGGCCATTTGTTTTGTTTCCGTATTTTGCTCATACTAACATCACTGCAATAAATACAATCTATCCTGATAGGATAGATTCCTGGAACTGAAATTTTTAGGTAAAAGAGTTTATGTATTTTTATTTTAACTTCTGAAAAAAAGCCATAATGCTTCTACTACAAAAGACTGTCTTTTTTCATACATCTTGTTCAGCAATTCTTATTATAGTTCTTTTAAAATTGTGCCTATCCAGTGGTCTAAATGTAATATCTCATCATTATTTGATATTATGTATTATGATATATATGTAATATATCATATTACATTACAGTAGTCAGTTTCTCTGACTACTAGTAAATTTTGGCATCCTTTCATAGGTTTGTAGAAATTTGGATTTACTCTTAATTATTTGAATTTTTAAGGGTGAAAAGTTGAAGTATATAAAAAATACAAAAGTTAATGTAAGAGACACCAATGTACCCACCCTTTAGATTTAATACTTTAACATTTTGTTTTATTTGCCTTAGAGTCTTTAAATAAATACAATGTTGCAAATATGGCTGACAAGTCCCCCTCTCCTACCAATCTTACTATATCCCATGCATTTTTATTCCTTATAGGAAATAACCAATAACTTGAAGTTGATATGTATTCTTCTTTTCAGTGTTTGCATACTTTTTGATCACTCTGCTTGTCGGAATTACACCTTCTATCACTATTCCTTTAGTAGTTACCTTGCACTTTTAACTTGTATATTTGACATAACAAAATTGAAAATCACTATCTCTGTCCCCCAGAAAGATGCAGGACTCTAAAGTACCTTAACTATGATATCTTCCTCCCATATTTTGTATTTTTTTTTTTACAATTCGTGCTTGCTTACATCTATCCACTTTTTTTTATGGGCCCAGCACACTTCCGTTGCTATCTTATCTACTAAAAAAAAAAAAAAAGACTACATACATACCAACGTTTTTGCATTCTGTTCTTTGTACACCTTTGCCTTCCATCTGGGTCCCTTTTTTTCTGAAGAAATGTCTTCAGAAATTCTTTTAGCGAGACCTGTGAATGGTCAATACTCACTCTTGAATAAGACTAGAATTCTAGGTTGACAATATTTCTTCTTTGGCCTCCGGCTACATTTAATTTTTGTTTTATTCTTTGTTATACTAAAAGTTATGAATATGTTATACTAAAAGGTATGAATATATTTTTCTTGGTCTTGTTCAAGTCTCATTGTGCTTCTTCAAACAGGAGTTCACAACTGAAATTTTTATATCTCAGCTATGATATAATCTTTAAATATTACCTTTTTCTTAGTCTCTCCATTTTTTCTGTTTGTAGCTCCTATTAGATATATATTATCCCTTTAATTCTAACCTCCATGATTCTTAATTTCTCATTCATATTTTCTATCCTGTTATGTACCGAGGCTACATTCTGGGCATTGTCTTCATCTCTACTCTTCCAGGTACTAGCCTTACGCAGGGATTTGCATTCTAGCTCCTCCCATTTATATGTCTACACCTATGTCTCCTGTTGTCTTAACAGTATTCAAATTTTGGCTTCTAGTTTCTTGGGCCTATATCTTAGTCCAGTATTCTGCTGCACTTTCAATAGGTTGATGCACGTCAATATAAACAAAGTAGAGATATGGGACAGGATGGGCCAGAATGGTAACAAGCCTCAAAATCATGTCAAGTGGAGGGTTTGTTTATCCAAAAACAAATCTTTATTTCATTCTTACTCTTGAATAATAACACTTTTACTGGGTAAAAAAATTCTAGGTTTACATTTTCCTCCTCAGAATTTTAAGGAGTTTCACATGGAGAGACAATTTAATGTAGAAAATATAGGTTATCTTCAAAAATCTGAAGTGTTTGCCTGTAGAAGAATAAATAAAATTTCTGTGTCGCCTGGCAAAATGAAACTAGGGCTACTATGTGTCTGCTACAAGGAATGGCTTCTGTTTCATACAGAGAATTTTCCAACATTCAGATCTGCCAAAGATAGCATGGACACTCTCAAGAGGTACTAAGATGTCCACAGCTACAGAGGTTTTCAAGTTTAAAGAGAATAACTAAAGTAGACAAACATTTGGCACAGGTGTTATAGAAGAGGTTTAAGTAGCACAGATTGTTGAAATAATTGGGTTTTTAAGTTTCTTCTAGAACTTGGAATCTCTAGTTCTTTTGCATCACCTAGATACAACCCCACAGCATTGGCTATGTGCCAACAGTTGTTTAGTGTTTATTGATTAGGTGAAAATTTCTGTACTATTCAGATCTCAAAACCTCAGTGTCTTATAACAACAAACTTTTGTTTGCTCACATTACATGAGGGTTGCAGCTTTGCTGTGGGTTTGTCAGGCTATGCTGAGAATACCTCAGTTTAGGCAGCTCCCTGTGCCTTCTCATTCTGAGACTCAGGTTGAAGGATGAGCCACTAACTGGAGCAAGCTGTTTCCAAAATAGAGGACAGAAGCTCAAAGTGGGTGGGGAGAGCAGAGCCAAACCACACAAGCAAGCACATTTAAACCTTTGAAGGTGGTTTATGTCATCTGCTCATATTTCAAGGCCCAAAGCAAGTTATATAGCCAATCCCAAAGTCAGTGGGGCAGGAAAGTAGATACCTCCTACAGGAAAGCTTAACTAGGGCATAAAGGAGCCAGTGGTATGCTAGAACCAGCTCATACTGGCTTCTAACAACAATTTATTTATTTATTTATTTATTTATTTATTTATTTATTTTGAGATGGCGTTTCGCTCTGTCACCAGGCTAGAGTGCAGTGGTGCGATCTCGGCTCACTGCAACCTCTGCCTCCTGGGTTCAACCAATTCTCCTGCCTCAGCCTCCCGAGTAGCTGGGACTACCAGCACCTTCCACCACACCCTGCTAATTTTTGTATTTTTAGTAGAGGCAGGGTTTCACCATATTGGCCAGGCTGGTCTCGAACTCCTGACCTTATGATCTGCCCGCCTCAGCCTCCCAAAGTGCTAGGATTACAGCCAACAGTCATTTTTTAATTTCAGAGTTTTGGCCAGCTGATTGTTAATCCATTAATATCTTCAACTGGACTTTGATGGAAATTTTCACACCATGGAAGTTGGAAAATGCTACAAATTGAACTTCTCTACCCTCTCCTCACTTCCCCAAGGGTAGTTGTTCAACATTTACCAGCATACCGCTAGAGGGAACCAATAAGTGTAAACAAATAAAACTGGCTACTATTGTTTTCTTGGCAAACAGAGCCTCTGGGAGCCAAGCAGTAGCAATGGATGAACAGCACTTAAAAAATCCTTCAAGGTGTGTCTCTTTTCTACACCCGAAAGGACATAGTGCTGATTTGTTCACTCAGAGGGAAGAACCAATATCCTTTAGACTCTCTTGCGTCATCCTCTGGCACTGCAAGTTGAAGCCAAACCAAGGAGGTAAAAATCCATTCATCCTCCCCTCTCTCATCAACTCAGTTTAGGATCTTGTTTCTTTGACAACATACCTGACACTGAAACTACTTCCACTTCCCACTTCTCCCTGCTACTTTGAGTGCATCCAGTAAAACACTTCCATGCCTTTCTGCTCTCTTGGCACACTCTATTGCTGTCACCCCATATGAGCACTTGGGATAGTTTCCAGACGAAGCCCCTGGCTTTAGCACACAGTCCCCTCCTTAAACTGGGCTCTAATTGAGTCCAACACTTTATTTCTGCAGTGTAGGCTGGACAGTGCTAAGTGCTGTCATTTAAGGAACTACAGGTGTAAGAGCTAGGCTTTCCAAACCCCATGCTGTCATCTGCCCACTGCCCACACTCACCAATTGGCCTACACTGCCAAGGTTTCCTAAACTAGTATCTGAAGTCAGGGGTATTTGTGGATTCCCCCTAGAGACTATGCCATCCTAAGAATGATGAAAGGATTAAGAAGAAACCAACGTGAAATGATATCAATAGCTGTTGGTAGAACTGCCTCCCGAAAACACCCAGGCTGTGTTTCTACACAAAATCCATGGACATTCACCCGCTTTGTCCTTCCCTATTGCTCCCAATTTCCCTCTCTCAGCCTCTACCTCTTTCCCCACCTCCTCCACCCTGGAGACCTGGTTCCAATTGCAAGGCCATTCCTGCAACAATCTCTGGCAACTGGAGTGAAAGGTGCCGACAAAGAGGCCCTCTCCACAGCTCCCTTTTCACAAGAAGCATGTATCCAATTAAAGGATTTTAATTAAAATGCTTTCTGTAGCATCCTGTTTTTACTCATTGTTATAAATTAAACTTGACATGCTCTGATTTAACAGGTGGGTGAGATTATTCTGAAAGCTGCCAGATGAGAGGAAATAGAAGCTGAGCTGAAAGAAGCTGTGTGCCTGGGAGTGTGAGAGAGACAGAGGGAGAGAGAGAGAGAGAGTGTGTGTGTGTGTGTGTGTGTGTGTCTTCATGCACCACACAAGTGCACAATTATATGTGCATGTGTTTGTCTTTAAATTGGTTTTAAATTATTGTTTTAAATGAGAAAGTTGCAATACAGCAAGGGGAACACCAAAAGAAAATAAAACCACAATCTAAAAAATTAGAATTTCATGCATCAACCTTAAAATCTCAGCCAGCAGTACTCATTTGCACATTTCTCATTAGTGGCATTCCTTTTTGGAGCATCAGCTAAGAAATATTTGTAACCTCCATTTATTGTTTCTCATAAATGAAGTTTCAACCCATATTACTCATGCAAAGGAATAAAGATGGATGTTTTGTTGTTGACAATTAAAAGTCTCAGTCATTACAGATTTCACCTCCTCAGTGCTTTTAGACAGTCAGTAGTCAACTTAAATGCCCCAAAGAGTTCTCACAGACTGCGCATTACACCTTTTGGTATAAACTGGCCACTTCAAGGTCTCCCTTTGTTCAAACCAGAGTAGTTTACTCACAAATCCTTTGCTTGAAGGGTATTATCTAAATTCCATGCTGTTGTTCATAGAACAGTTTCCCCCTTCCTGAACCTCTTTTTTTCCAAAACTATCTATTCCTTCCAGATTCTGCTCTTTTTTTCTTCCCCGTGACATTATCCCTAACCACTCCAGCACAAACTTACTGATTTAAATGCCTACCGTATGTATTCATTTATTCAACAGGATCAAGCAGTGTTGTCAGTATTCGAGATATAGCATTAAACAATAAGAAAATGAACAAATTTAAAGTATGTTTAGTGGCAGATGCACACTAAGAAGAAAAATAAAGCAAGTTAAGGTGGATAGAGTGTTGTTTGCCTTTTCATTAATTCTGTTATTATTTAAAGTTTTGCTTATTGATGTTCCATTTTTTCAATTGGTCTGTTATTTCCTTGAGGATGGGAATTATCCCTAATATCTTGGAGTAATGATCAAAATATTTAACAGCTAATACATCAGGCACCAACCAGTGAGAGTGGAGCTCAGCCATTCTAGTGTGTCCCAGTTGGATATCAGCCCTACTAAACCTCATTGTGTCCTCCAGTTTACATTACTCAATATATTTTGATCCAAATATTGATTTGATAATAATATCAATCATTGGTTTCTCATATTATGTAAATGGTACTCTAGTGGCCTAAAAGAGTAAATGTATTTTAATCAAAGGTTCTAACTTATTTTTAGAGACTATGCAGGTTAGGCAATCCTCAAGCAAGATAGTTACCATAAGCCAGTCTACGTGAATTTTCTTGTCCATCTTAACAACTCACTGGATATCCTATCCACATAGGACAGATTTCCAGGAAAAGCAGTTCTTTCAAAAATTTATTTGTCCTGAGAAAGTCCTAAAATTACAGATTTACTGTTTAAGTCCCTAAGGAAAAATGCTTTATTTTGTAGTAGAAAGATCATGGACTTTGAGTTTAAACTACAATCTGTCCCAAGAACTTATCCTGGTTAATTACCTTTTTTTGTTTGTTTGTTTTTTCAGAGTCTCGCTCTGTTGCCCAGGCTGGAGTGCTGGGCAAGTATGATCTTACTTGTCCAAGTAAGATCATTGAGTGGCGTGATCTCGGCTCACTGAGAGCCAGTTTCCCAGGTTCAAGCGAGTCTCCTGCCTCAGCCTCCCGAGTAGCTGGGACTACAGGCACGCACCACCATGCCTGGCTAATTTTTGTATTTTTAGTAGAGACAGGGTTTCACCATATTGGCCAGGCTGGTCTCGAACTCCTGACCTTGTGATCTGCCTGCCTCTGCCTCCCACAGTGCTGGGATTACAGGCATGAGCCACTGTGCCCAGCTGGTTAATTAACTTTTCTAAGGCTCAGTATCCTTAATTGTAAAATGGAATGGAAAATACCAACTTTGCAGTGTTGCAAAAGATAAAGCAAAGTGAGAAAATTGCATGGTACCTACCTGATACAGAATTGATGCTTTGTGAATGATAGCTATTATAGTTGCTGTCATTATCTACTGGTATCTATAATGGTCCAATCACCCATGTGGTCAGATTGTAAATTATACAGATAGATAGACTTGCTTTCACACGCTAATGGATACCTATGGCTTATACCACAAAATGCTTAGGGTTCCACTTTTATGCCATTTCCACCACTTTATATCCAGGTAATACAAGCGGTATCTACACCTCAAATGTAGTAAGCTTCTCTACTAAACTGCAAGCTGCTTAAGGACATGAATCTCTACTTCCTTCTCTTCTGTATCTTCATTTCCTCCCACTCCATTTCTACACCATTCCTGGTAGGAGGCTCCACCCACAGGAGGAAGCATAACATGGAGCTGGAGAAATAGAGAAGAGTAATAAAGTAATGGAAGAAGCGGGTGGGGGAACTGGATAAGTTGTGAACACTCAAGATAGACTGAAAGGGGACATGCTAGAAATCTAATGAATCATAAGTCCATCTAGGGGACACACACTTTCATTAGGAGACAACTGCCTGAACCTAGAAAGAGGCAAACTGAGAAGGAATAAATAAATGAGTCATTTGTCATGATAGATTTCATGATTATGGAACCCATTACCCCCAAGATGTGAAACAAGCTGAAACTATAAATGGCTACACAAATAAGTGAGAAAAACCCATGGAAGATGACCCTATCATAGGATTCATTAAAGGAAATTAGAGTAGTTGAAGTGTAGTAGCAACCACCAGCAAGCATTTACTAAAGTCTCTCTGTGCCAAGAGTTGTGCTAAGTGCAGATGGAGAAGCAAAGAAGTAAAGAAAAGTCCCAGACCTGAAGAATGTTAAAAAGCAGGAGAGAAGAGACCCGCCCACAAATAGCCACAAGAACCTACAACAATGAAGTGCTATAAAAAAGAAAAGGAGAGAAAGCTATACCTTCTGTCTGAAGGATCTAAGGAAAATATAAGCATTTGAGATGCACACTGAAGAAGGAATAGAATTTGAGCAGTGAAAATCAGTTAGAATTGGGTCGTTGAGAGGGAATATAGGCCCTGGGGCAGAAAGATTGAACTAGGATTGATATGCAATATAATGGGGCCCAAATCCTGTTCTACTGCTGGGCCCAACAATTCCTTTCGACCCACCCTACTTGGTAAAGCAGGGAGGGGAAATAGTAGAAAACTAAAGGCAAAGATAAGAAAGACATAAATACCAAAAAAGTTACGTGTCTATCAAATAATAGTGGAAAAGAGGTTGAAGAAGATAATATCTGCCATCTCCCCTTGCTCCAAATGTCCCTTGATTTATTTTATATCTAACTCTTGCCTGAAAGGAGTTAACACAGTGCACAACCACTCCACCCTGCAACACACTCACATAATACACTCCCATGTCTGTGAGGCTTAAAATTTGGCTCCACAAGCAGGAAGAAGCGTGCTATGTAACTTGCAAACTGGAGAAGAAAAGCCAACGTTGTGGCTTAGAGCCAAGATGGCCGAATAGGAAGAGCTCCAGTCTACAGCTCCCAGCATGAGCGACACAGAAGATGGGTGATTTCTGCATTTCCATCTGAGGTACCAGGTTCATCTCACTAGGGAGTGCCAGACAGTGGGTGCAGGACAGTGGGTGCAGTGCACCGCCCACGAGCCGAAGCAGGGCGAGGCATTGCCTCACTCGGGAAGTGCAAGGGGCCAGGGAGTTCCCTTTCCTAGCCAAAGAAAGGGGTGACAGACGGCACCTGGAAAATCGGGTCACTCACACCCTAATACTGCGCTTTTCCAATGGGCTTAAAAAACGGTGCACCAGGAGATTATATCCCGCACCTGGCTTGGAGGGTCCTACGCCCACGGAGTCTCACTGATTGCTAGCACAGCAGTCTGAGATCAAACTGCAAGGTGGCAGCGAGGCTGGGGGAGGGGCGCCCGCCATTGCCCAGGCTTGCTTAGGTAAACAAAGCAGCCAGGAAGCTCAAACTGGGTGGGGCCCACCACAGCTCAAGGAGGCCTGCCTGCCTCTGTAGGCTCCACCTCTGGGGGCAGGGCACAGAAAAACAAAAAGACAGCAGTAACCTCTGCAGACTTAAATGTCCCTGTCTGACAGCTTTAAAGAGAGCAGTGGTTCTCCCAGCCCACAGCTGGAGATCTGAGAATGTGCAGACTGCCTCCTCAAGTGGTTCCCTGACCCCTGACCCCCGAGCAGCCTAACTGGGGGGCACCCCCCGGTAGGGGCAGACACCTCACACGGCCGGGTACTCCTCTGAGACAAAACTTCCAGAGGAACGATCAGACAGCAGCATTCTCGATTCATGAAAATCCGCTGTTCTGCAGTCACCACTGCTGATACCCAGGCAAACAGGGTCTGGAGTGTACCTCTAGCAAACTCCAACAGACCTGCAGCTGAGGGTCCTGTCTGTTTGAAGGACAACTAACAAACAGAAAGGACATCCACACCAAAAACCCATCTGTACATCACCATCATCAAAGACCAAAAGTAGATAAAACCACAAAGATGGGGAAAAAACAGGGCAGAAAAACTGGAAGCTCTAAAAAGCAAAGCGCCTCTCCTCCTCCAAAGGAATGCAGTTCCTCACCAGCAATTGAACAAAGCTGGATGGATAATGACTTTGACGAGTTCAGAGAAGAAGGCTTCAGATGATCAAACTACTCTGAGCTACAGGAGGAAATTCAAACTAAAGGCAAAGAAGTTGAAAACTTTGAAAAAAATTTAGATGAATGTATAACTAGAATAACCAATACAGAGAAGTGCTTAAAGGAGCTGATGGAGCTGAAAGTCAAGGCTCAAGAACTACGTGATGAATGCAGAAGCCTCAGGAGCCGATGTGATCAACTGGAAGAAAAGGTATCAGTGACAGAAGATGAAATGAATGAAATGAAGGGAGAAGGGAAGTTTAGAGAAAAAAGAATAAAAAGAAATGAACAAAGCCTCCAAGAAATATGGGACTATGTGAAAAGACCAAATCTACGTCCGATTGGTGTACCTGAAAGTGACGGGGAGAATGGAACCAAGTTGGAAAACACTCTGCAGGATATTATCCAAGAGAACTTCCCCAATCTAGCAAGGCAGGCCAACATTCAGATTCAGGAAATACAGAGAATGCCACAAAGATACTCCTTGAGAAGAGCAACTCCAAGACACATAATTGTCAGATTCACCAAAGTTGAAATGAAAGAAAAAATGTTAAGGGCAGCCAGAAAGAAAGGTTTGGTTACCCACAAAGGGAAGCCCATCAGACTAACAGCAGATCTCTCGGCAGAAACTCTATAAGCCAGAAGAGAGTGGGGGCCAATATTCAACATTCTTAAAGAAAAGAATTTTCAACACAGAATTTCATATCCAGCCAAACTAAGCTTCATAAGTGAAGGAGAAATAAAATACTTTACAGACAAGCAAATGCTGAGAGATTTTGTCACCACCAGACCTTCCCTAAAAGAGCTCCTGAAGGAAGCACTAAACATGGAAAGGAAGAACCAGTAACAGCCACTGCAAAATCATGCCAAACTGTAAAGACCATGGAGACTAGGAAGAAACTGCATCAACTAACGAGTAAAATAACCAGCTAACATCATAATGACAGGATCAAATTCACACATAACAATATTAACTTTAAATGTAAATGGACTAAATGCTCCAATTAAAAGACACAGACTGGCAAATTGGATAAAGAGTCAGGACTCATCAGTGTGCTGTATTCAGGAAACGCATCTCAAGTGCAGACACACACATAGGCTCAAAATAAAAGGATGGAGGAAGATCTACCAAGCAAATGGAAAACACAAAGAGGCAGGGGTTGCAATCCTAGTCTCTGATAAAACAGACTTTAAACCAACAAAGATCAAAAGAGACAAAGAAGGCCATTACATAATGGTAAAGGGATCAATTCAACAAGAAGAGCTAACTATCCTAAATATATATGCACCCAATACAGGAGCACCGAGATTCACAAAGCAAGTCCTGAGTGACGTACAAAGAGACTTAGACTCCCATACAATAATAATGGGAGAAGTTAACATCCCACTGTCAACATTAGACAGATCAACGAAACAGAAAGTTAACAAGGATATCCAGGAATTGAACCCAGCTCTGCACCAAGTGGACCTAATAGACATCTACAGAACTCTCCACCCCAAATCAACGGAATATACATTTTTATCAGCACCACACCACACCTATTACAAAATTGACCACATAGTTGGAAATAAAGCTCGCCTCAGCAAATGTGAAGAACAGAAATTATAACAAAATGTCTCACAGACCACAGTGCAATCAAACTAGAACTCAGGATTAAAAAACTCACTCAAAACCGCTCAACTACATGGAAACTGAACAACCTGCTTCTGAATGACTACTGGGTACATAAAGAAATGAAGACAGAAATAAAGAAGTTCTTTGAAACCAACGAGAACAAAGACACAACATACCAGAATCTCTGGAACACATTCAAAGCAGTGTGTAGAGGGAAATTTATAGCACTAAATGCCCACAAGAGAAAGCAGGAAAGATCCAAAATTGACACCCTAACATCACAATTAGAAGAACTAGAAAAGCAAGAGCAAACATATTCAAAAGCTAGCAGAAGACGAGAAATAACTAAAATCGTAGCAGAACTGAAGGAAATAGAGACACAAAAAACCCTTCAAAAAATTAATGAATCCAGGAGCTGGTTTTTTGAAAGTATCAACAAAATTGATAGACCACTAGCAAGACTAATAAAGAAGAAAAGAGAGAAGAATCAAATAGACGCAATAAAAAATGATAAAGGGGATATCACCACCAATCCCACAGACATACAAACTACCATCAGAGAATACTACAAACATCTCTACACAAATAAACTAGAAAATCTAGAAGAAATGGATAAATTCCTCGACACATACACCCTCCCAAGACTAAACCAGGAAGAAGTTGAATCTCTAAATAGACCAATAACAGGCTCTGAAATTGGGGCAATAATCAATAGCTTATCAACCAAAAAGAGTCCAGGACCGGATAGATTCACAGCCGAATTCTACCAGAGGTACAAGGAGGAACTGGTACCATTCTTTCTGAAACTATTCCAATCAATAGAAAAAGACGGAATCCTCCCTAACTCATTTTATGAGGCCAGCATCATCCTGATACCAAAGCCGGGCAGAGAGACAACCAAAAAAGAAAATTTTAGACCAATATCCTTGATGAACATTGATGCAAAAATCCTCAATAAAATACTGGCAAACCAAATCCAGCAGCACATCAAAAAGCTTATCCACCATGATCAAGTGGGCTTCATCCCTGGGATGCAAGGCTGGTTCAATATATGCAAATCAATAAATGTAATCCAGCATATAAACAGAACCGAAGACGAAAACCACATGATTATCTCAATAGATGCAGAAAAGGCCTTTGACAAAATTCAACAACCCTTCATGCTAAAAACTCTCAATAAATTAGGTATTGATGGGACGTATCTCAAAATAGTAAGAGCTATCTATGACAAACCCACAGCCAATATCATACTGAATGGGCAAAAACTGGAAGCATTCCCTTTGAAAACTGGCACAAGACAGGGATGCCCTCTCTCACCAGTCCTATTCAACATAGTGTTGGAAGTTCTGGCCAGGGCAATTAGGCAGGAGATGGAAATAAAGAGTATTCAATTAGGAAAAGAGGAAGTTAAATTGTCCCTGTTTGCAGACGGCATGAGTGTATATCTAGAAAACCCCATCGTCTCAGCCCAAAATCTCCTTAACCTGATAAGCAACTTCAGCAGTCTCAGGATACAAAATCAATGTACAAAAATCACAAGCATTCTTATACACCAATAACAGACAAACAGAGAGCCAAATCATGAGTGAACTCCCATTCACAATTGCTTCAAAGAGAATAAAATACCTAGGAATCCAACTTCCAAGGGATGTGAAGGACCTCTTCAAGGAGAACTACAAACCACTGCCCAGTGAAATAAAAGAGGATACAAACAAATGAAAGAACATTCCATGCTCATGGGTAGGAAGAATCAATATCGTGAAAATGGCCATACTGCCCAAGGTAATTCATAGATTCAATGCCATCCCCATCAAGCTACCAATGACTTTCTTCACAGAATTGGAAAAAACTACTTTAAAGTTCATATGGAACCAAAAAAGAGCCTCCATTGCCAAATCAATCCTAAGCCAAAAGAACAAAGCTGGAGGCATCATGCTACCTGACTTCAAACTATACCACAAGGCTACAGTAACCAAAACAGCATGGTACTGTTACCAAAACAGAGATATAGATCAATGGAACAGAACAGAGCCCTCAGAAGTAACGCCACATATCTACAACTATCTGATCTTCGACAAACCTGAGAAAAACAAGCAATGGGGAAAGGATTCCCTATTTAATAAATGGTGCTGGGAAAACTGGCTAGCCATATGTAGAAAGCTGAAATTGGATCCCTTCCTTACACCTTATACAAAAATGAATTCAAGATGGATTAAAGACTTAAACGTTAGACCTAAAACCATAAAAACCCTAGAAGAAAACCTAGGCATTACCATTCAGGACATAGGCATGGGCAAGGACTTCATGTCTAAAACACCAAAAGCAATGGCAACAAAAGCCAAAGTTGACAAATGGGATCTAATTAAACTAAAGAGCTTCTGCACAGCAAAAGAAACTACCATCAGAGTGAACAGGCAACCTACAAAATGGGAGAAAATTTTTGCAACCTACTCATCTGACAAAGGGCTAATATCCAGAATCTACAATGAACTCAAACAAATTTACAAGAAAAAAACAAACAACCCCATCAAAAAGTGGGCGAAGGACATGAACAGACACTTCTCAAAAGAAGACATTTATGCAGCCAAAACACACATGAAAAAATGCTCACCATCACTGGCCATCAGAGAAATGCAAATCAAAACCACAATGAGATACCATCTCACACCAGTTAGAATGGCAATCATTAAAAAGTCAGGAAACGACAGGTGCTGGAGAGGATGTGGAGAAATAGGAACACTTTTACACTGTTGTGGGACTGTAAACTAGTTCAACCATTGTGGAAGTCAGTGTGGTGATTCCTCAGGGATCTAGAACTAGAAATACCATTTGACCCAGCCATCCCATTACTGGGTATACACCCAAAGGACTATAAATCATGCTGCTATAAAGACACATGCACATGTATGTTTACTGCAGCACTATTCACAACAGCAAAGACTTGTAACCAACCCAAATGTCCAACAATGATAGACTGGATTAAGAAAATGTGGCACACATACACCACGGAATACTACGCAGCCATAAAAAATGATGAGTTCATGTCCTTTATAGGGACATGGATGAAATTGGAAATCATCATTCTCAGTAAACTATTGCAAGGACAAAAAGCAAACACCGCATGTTCTGACTCATAGGTGGGAATTGAACAATGAGAACACATGGACACAGGAAGGGGAACATCACACTCTGGGGACTGTTGTGGGGTGTGGGGAGGGGGGAGGGATAGCATTAGGAGATATACCTAATGTAAATGACGAGTTAATGGGTGCAGCACACCAGCATGGCACATGTATACATATGTAACTAACCTGCACATTGTGCACATGTACCCTAAAACTTAAAGTATAATAATAATAAAATAAAATAAAAGCCAAAGTTGTAAAGTGCATAGGCAGACAAAGAGCTAAATGAGGAGTGAACATTGAACATATCAATACACAAATAATTACATACTTACAATACATGATACACACTCTGCAGAAAGTGATGAGATCATGGTGCAGTGAGAGAGGGGGGTCGGGGAACATAAGAGTTTCCACCCCTCTGCATGGGAGAAGTAGAAATTTACCTCAAATGCCACATTTGATTTCTCAAATCATTTTCCAGCACCATCTCTTACCTGATTCAGGTCTAGTATGAAGAATTTACCTATCTGATGTGAAAGATCTGACAGTTAAAATGCACGCTGAACTATGGGAAAGCCCCAAATTTAACACAGAAAATGTTAGACTATAACTTTCATATAGAGCCACATTGAGAAATTGTATTTTATTCCTCAGTGGAAGAAGAAAAAAGGGTCCCTTCAGCATAATTTCTCCAGTTCTTGACTTTTCTTTGCCCAAGCAGGTTCACCAACACAGTGGTACCCAAGCATGTTATTAACAACTGCTTCCTTTCACACTTAGAATATAAACCTATTCTTGCTCTGGGGTACCTGCTAATAGCATCTCAGGGAAACAGAAAAGAATAATAATCTTTCCTCCTGCTGATTCTCTTTCTATAATACAGGTAGGGCAACAAACTTTCCTGGACCTAGGACTGACCAAGTCTTAGCACTGAGAATCCCACATCCCCAAATAAACCGTTAGTTTCAGGTAAAGCAAGAAGGTTGGTCGTCGTCTCTGAACATACCACGTGAAGTCCTGAGTTGCCACTAAGCACACACAGCAGGACTGGGGAGTAGCATGGAAGTGGTAACTGGAACAACACAATAGACTAACTACCTCCCTCACAGTTTTGTAGAGACCCAGGTCTTGATTGAAGAAGAGCTTTAACCCATTTTTTTGAGACTAAAAAATATGAAAATTCAAAAATGGGTAGAATATTCCCCAAAATTCTTTTATTCTGGATAAATTAGGATGCTTCAACTAAAAAAATCTAAAATAAAAGCCACATTTTTTCATTTTAGTTGTTTCAAATTGAAAACAACTAGCCTTTGTGGTGAAATATTGAAACTATGGAAAATGTCTTAGGGAAATGTTGACCTTCTCTTAAAAAAGTTTAAAAGTTAAAATATAATTTCTCAACTGTAAAGTTTACTTTGAATTAATGGGGAAATGTGAAAGAATGATCCTAACTGAATGCAGACAGCAAAACTCCGAGATTCTATGGAGCTTTCAGCTCATAATCAAAGAGAACAGTCTGAAAACAGGGAAGAATAGAACAAGCACTATTTAAAAGTAAATTTTGTCTCAGAAGGATGAAAAGCGATAAAAGATAATTTGTATCTCTTATTCTTAAAAAATATTGCTGTGTAGATTGGCTACATCAGAATTACTTGGAAAACTTATAAAGGACACAGATTCCCAACCCCAATTCTAACAGACACTGATTTAGGTCTGCACAGAGCAGGGAGTCTTATTTTAACAAGCTTTCTAGGTGATTTTGATGAGCAGCTGGTTTTGGAAACAGTGATTTAGACAATTAAAATGGTTTAAGTGGCAAGTTCACATGGATTATTCTCCAACCTCTTGTCAAGGAGCAATAGGACTCGATGGTCAAAAGATCAAGTTCTCTTAGGATATAACAATCTAGCATACAATCTTGGCTCTGCTGCTTGTGAGCTATATGATCTTGGACAAGTAAATACACTTTCTCCTTCATTTCCCCCTTTTATAATGGAAATAATAATAGTAATCTCCCAGAATTTATTTATTTATATATAAATACATGTCATACTCTTAGAAAAGTGGATGCCAAATAATAAGTGTTCAATACATGTGAATAGTTCTTATTAATGCTAAAAGAAGAAACAGAAGAGAGCTCATAACCTCCATCAATGATTCTATATAATTTAGCATATGAAAAAAGTGGCAGAAGGCTAAAGATAACTATACTAACTAATCTGCAAGAAAGAGCAAAACAATGTTTTCCAGAAACTTCGTTGACTTCTAAGAAAGTTTTCAAGCATATGTGTGTGCTGCTTACTGTGAGTACTCAGGGAAATAAATCACTATAAGAAAGTGAATAATGCGTGATGTGTAAACTTCATTTCAAACATTTAAGTTTCCTTTAATAGCTTTTCCTTTTTTATTTCAGGAAGCTTTTCCTAACATCTTTATGTACACAACAAGTTGAAGCTTAAGGGAGTGGTATTCAAGATGAACATGTTCAGAACAGAACTCTTAATTCTCCCCACTACCACCTAACCTAACTCTATCCCAGTCTCACTCAACCCAGAAATGGTACCATCATCAATACAGAAACCTGGTATATTAGCCCATTTTCATGCTGCTGATAAAGGGATACTCTTACAAAAGAAAGAGGTTTAATGAACTTAACAATTCCACGTGACTGGGAAGGCTTCACAATCATTGCGGAAGGTGAAAGGCATATCTCACATGGCAGCAGACAAAAGAGAGCTTGTGCAGGGAAACTCCCATTTTTTAAAACCATCAGATCTCATGAGACTTACTCACATCATGAGAACAGCACGGGAAATACTCGCCCCCATGTTCAATTATCTCCCACTGAGTCCCTCCCACAACATGTGTGAATTCAAGATGAGATTTGGGTGGGGACACAATCAAACCATATGACCTGGGAATCATCTTGATCCCTAATTCCCACACAGACACATGTGCAAATCATCAAATAAGTCTCATAAATTCTCCCTCCAAACTATATCTTGAGTTTATCTACTTGTCTTCATCCTGACTGCTGCCAACTTGGTATATCCCATGACTGTCTCTCATCTAGAATCTCACAATAGCCACCTAACTGACCTCCTCATTTCCACTCCTAGTCCCTACAAGGCATTCTCCATGCAGAAGCCAGAGTAGAACTTTTAAAATATGTTTTATGTTCTTTCCCTGCTTAAAACCCTTCCATAACTTCTGTGATAGTTAATTTTATGTGTTGATCTGACCGGGCCATTGAGTACTCAGATTTTTGGTTAAACATTATTTATTGGTGTATCTGAGGCAAGGGCGGTGTTTCTGGGTAAGATTAACATTTGAATGAATAGACTGAGTATGCATCTGAGCTGCTATAACAAAATACCTCAGAGAGGGTAATTTATAAACAACAGAAATTTATATTCTATAGCACAGCATAACACAATATTACCATGTAACAAAACTGCACATATACCCCCATATCTAAAATAAAATTTGATAATCTTTTTTAAAAAGAAAGACATTGTTCACAGTTCTGGAGGCCAGGTAGTCCAAGATCAAGATGTCAGCAGATTCAGTGTCTGGTGAGGGCCCATTCCTCATAGATGGTGCCTTCTTGCTGCATCCTCACATGGCAGAAGGGGATAACAAGCTTCCCTGGATCTCTTTATAAGGGCACTAATTCCATTCGTGATGACAAAGTTCTCATGACCAAAAAACTTCCCACCCCTTAATATTATCTCATTGGGGATTAGATTCCAATATATGAATTTTGGGGGAACACAAGCATTCAGACGATGGCACTGACTAAAGTAGATTGGCCTCCATAATATGGGGTGGGGAGCTCATTCAATATATTATAGACCTGAGTAGAATAAAAAGCTAAGGAAGAAAGAACTCTTTTGCTCTGGATAGCTGTCTTTGAGCTGGGATATTGACCTTCTCCTGCCTTGAGACTCAGAATTAGACTGGAACTTACATCATTGGCCTTACTGTTTCTCAGACTCAGACGCACACTCACACATACATCATTGGCTTTCCTGCTGCTCAGACCTTGGAATTTGTGCCGAAACTGTACCACCATCTTGCCTGGATCAGGACTTCTCAGCCTCCATAATCCTGTAAGTCAATTCCTTATTTAAAAAATCCTCCCCACCCATAGATACACACACACACACACACACACACACACACACACACACACACACATCCTATTGGCTCTGGTCCTTTGGAGAACTCTGACTGATATACCTTCCCATTGCACTTGGAATACTAAGTCTAAATTCCTTATTAAAGCCTGCAAGTCCTGCATAATGTGCCCCCATTCACCCCTGTCCCCAGTGACTTCTCCAATCCAGTTTCCTGCCACTCCCCCTTCCTCATGCACACCAGCCACACTGACCTTCTTTCAGTTCCTCAGCATGTAAGATTCACCCCACAGCCTCTGAGCTTACTGTTTGACCAATCTGGAGAAAAGATTGCTCTTCCCAGCTTTTTACATGATGGGTCTCTTCCCATTGCTCACATCTCAGTTTAAATGTCTCTTCACAGAGAAACCTTCTCTGACCAGCCCTGCCATATCTAAAATATGATCCCTCATTATTCTGTATAGCTGTGCCCTATTTATTAGCTTTGTACTGCCAACAAAACTTCAAGCAGCACAAGAACAGAGACCATGTCTGTTTTACTCAGCAATACATCCCAAGCACTGTATCCAGCTTATGGTGGATGCTCTAGTATTGTATAAATGAATACATTAATGAGCAGGTAAATGCACAGCCAAATAAACAACCATACCCAAAGACTTTACTAAAGCTTATGTTTTTGTTTAATAATGATTCAACACATGTAAGGTTTTTTTCAGGAAGGAGTGATATGGAATAAAATATTTCATCTTCCTAGTACAATTTCAGGAAGCACTAAAGGGCAGCAGCTCATGAGATATCCCTGAAATCAGCCTTTTACTTACATAGAAAGCAGCCTTTTACTTCTCTCAAGGCCTACTTTATGAGCATTATTTAATTTGAATTGTCTCTGTCTTCCTTTCTCTTCGCTGCACGATGCTCAACCAGATTCACAAATGGTGGTAACTAAACTGGCCACCAGTGAAAAATTTTGAAGCAAATTAAATAACCATGGAGTAGGACGACAGTTAATGCAACCAACACTTAATGATTTGTGGCATCAGTGTAAGCAGTGCTGGGAGTGGGTGAGGCCAATGTCGGTAACTCAGCTGAATAAAACCCCACATATGCCAGGGATCAATTTACCTCGTCTCTAGGTTACTCCTCCTAACAAAAGCTACACAAGGGTTGCTGGCCAGAAGCCAGAGGGGCCGATGGGACTTCCACACCCACTCACTCCTTCCCAGGCCCAGGTCTCTGGCCGAGGTGCTAATGAGCAGTAAAAAGGCCAGAAGGTGAAAAGAAGTAGGGGGAAAGAGGGCTTGGATTATCCATGACCTGTGTAATCAGTCCCTGAAGATTTGGTTTAACTAGATTTGCAGAATCCCCTTTCTACCCAAGAGTGTGTGAGAAACTCAGAGGAGATGCTGAAGTACCAGGAATTGAGACACGGCCTCGTTAAGGGTGTGCAAATATTGACGCAATTTCCATAAAAAGTGCTTTGTGGGGGCCTGAGGATGGGTATTGAGTGCCGGTCAATAAAAGCTCTCTGGCTGAGGAAGTTTTTATAGCTCATTCGACCACAAAAACTAGTATGACGTATTTGGGCAAAGGTTTCTGGAAACCATTTCCCTTCACTGCTTCCGTAGATTTACTCTGTGTCCTTCCTCTTCAGAGAAGTAGTTTGGCAAAGGAGAACACGCAAAGTAGTAAAAGCAGGTCTCCGAAGGTTACAAAAAGCTCTGACTTGTACAATCTTCAGATTTCCATGGCCTAAATACAGGATTTCAAACTACCATTGTGACGTCAGGGAAGGTAGAGTTGCAAAAAGATGTGCAGAATCATGGTGGTGAGCTGGTATAGCTAGCTCCAGCATCCCGCAGATGAGCACGTGGATTCCGGGAGTCAAACATATTCATCTCCAATCTGGGCCTGCCTCTTAGTAGCTATGTGACCTTGGACAAGTTACTTAGCCTCTCTGAGCCTTATATTTCTCATATTTTAAACAGGGATCGTACAGAATAAACACCTATTAGTTAAAAACATAGGTTTAAAGAAAACAGTGCCCAGCACATGGTAGGTGCTTATCAAATTGTAGAAGATGGAGATTACTAATGATGATTAACTTCAGCTAAACTATCCATAATTATTGTAGGGAATTGGTGAGTATCCAAGAATTCCTGTATCAGGAAGACTCACCGAAACTCCAGCAAACTTAACTGTTTAGGCACAAGGGCCACAATTCTGTGCATCTTTCCTGAGAAGGAATTGGAGAAAGAAAAAACTATAACTTCTTTCTAGAACTATACTTTGGATTTTTATAACAAGAATTTATTTATGTTTTAAATGTGTGATAATTTTTAGTTTTTAAGAAAAGCTATGGAGGCAAAATCCAGAAGCAATGCTTTCAGAGTAGTAGAAATAAGCATTGAGCTTTAAAATTGGCCAAGAATTGAAAATTATTTAAAACTCATTTGCTGTGACCCTCTAATATAGACCCAGATAAAACTCCTGGGAAAATCTTATTGGAAACAGTGAGATATAGCAAAAAGGTAGATTCAGAGGATTCCTCAAGTTAATTTTTACAAATGAATTGAGGATATGCACTTTAATGGAAACTGTAAAAAATAATAAGAATAAAAACAAAAATAAAAGAGTAATTAACACAAAACAAATTAAAACAAAATTTAGCTTGAAAATTACTCATGGTAGAAAAAGTTTCAAGATAGTGCCGAGTCAAATACAATAACCTTCCTACCTGTTGACAGGTATCAGGTTTATATAACAATAACTCAAGAAGTTTAGAAAATTATTGTAGTGTTTGTATAGTGTTGCATAATGAAGGAATCAAGAAGGTGGATTATGGTGGGTGACTGAGCAATGTAGCTAAAACCACTTACATTTCACAATTTCATTGGCCCCAGAATCTATGAACAGACATTTCACAGTGGGGAAGTCAGATCATGCTCACTTGCCTGTGAATCTCTAAAGGCTGGTGGAAACCACATCCATGCTGTGTGTGATGTGGTATTGTGTAAAATCTCTGGAGTGTCCTGAGACTGGATGAGCCTGAGTGCCATCATCATTTAGCTCCTTCATCAATTCCTGAGTTACAGCAGCTCCTTTTGGATCAAGACTGGAGACACCACCACCATTAAGTGTTTGGACACTTTTTGGCTCACCTGCATCTGAGAACAGTGATATCACTGTCCAAGCCTGAGGTGTCTGTGCAGCTCCCAAGACCCTGATCAGAAACCTGGGCAGGAGGCCATAGCAGAAACTCTTTGGACCGGGCTCAGTAAAATACTTCAAAGCAGAGGTTTAATGACAAAGGAGCCTGCAAGGAACAATAAAAACCAATACTCAGCCTGATCCAGGGTGCTGAAATGCATCTACATGTGTAGGCTGGTGGGGCCACTTTTTTTGTAGACTACCGTGTTAGTCCATTTTCATGCTGCTGATAAAGACATATCTGAGACTGGACAATTTACAAAAGAAAAAGATTTAATGGACTTACAGTCCCACATGGCTGGGGAGGCCTCACAATCATGGCAGAAGGCAAGGAGGAGCAAGTCACATCTACATGGATGGCAGCAGGCAAAGAGAGAGCTATGCAGAGAAACTCCCCTTTTAAAACCATTAGATCCCATGAGACTTATTCACTATCACCAGAAAAGCACAGGAAAAGCTGGTTGCTGTGGCTCACGCCTGTAATCCCACCACTTTGGGAGGCTGACCCAGGTGGATCACCTGAGGTCGGGAGTTCGAGACCAGCCTGATCAACATGGAGAAACCCCATCTCTACTAAAAATACAAAAAATTAGCTGGCTGTGGTGGTTCATGCCTGTAATCCCAGCTACTTGGGAGGCTGAGGCAGGAGAATTCCTTGAATCTGGGAGGCGGAGGTTGTGGTGAGCCAAGATCGCGCCATCACACTCCAGCCTGGGCGACAAGAGCAAAACTCCATCTCAAAAAAAAAAAAAAAGAAAAGAAAACAAAAGCACAGTAAAGGCCTGGCCCCATGATTCAATTACCTCCCACCAGGTCCCTCCTATAACTCGTGGGACTTCAAGATGATATTTGGATGGGGACACAGCCAAACCATGTCAGCTACTTTTTCCCCAGCTTTATTGAGGTATACTTGACAAATAAGAATTATATGTATTTATATACAACAGGTACAATACAATGTTTTAATATACGTACACATTGTGAAATGATTATCACAATCAAGCTAATTAATGTATCTATCACCTCAAATAGTTACCCTTTTTGGTGTGGTAAGAACATTTAAGATAAACTCTTTTAGCAAATTTCAAGTATACAATACAACGTTAGTAACTATAGTCATCGTGTTGCACATAAGGTTCCCAGAACTTATTTACCCTCCATGACAGAAACTTTGTACCTTTTAACCACCATCTCTCCATTTCCCCAACCCCCACAGTCCCTGGGAACCACCTGTCTACTTTCTGCTTTTAGGAATTTGACTTTTTTAGATTTCATATATAAGTGAGATCATGCAGTATTTGTCTTTCTGTGCCTGGCTTATTTAACTTAGCATAATATTGGTGGGGCCACTTTTTAGGAAAAGCCAAGATATGGAAATCTAAATCGATTTAAAAGACAAACCAGGATCCAATTATTCTCATCACAAGTGGGATCTTTCTTTGTAAAATTATTCAGAATAAGGTTATTTTATGTATTCCATTCTCTGCTACTGTTAAAATACACTTGGTTCTCACAACTAGGTCCATTCACCTTTCGTTGAACATATTATTTGCATAGAGTACAGTGTAGCTCTATTTAAATGAATTTAATTTAAATAATTAAATAATTCTATTTAAATGAATTTAAAGAGAGGAAATAGGAGTTTGGTTAATGGTCTGTTTGGATAATATTTTAATCCAGGGGCTCAGTAGTTTGTTTTAAATGTGGAGGTCAGTTCTAGTTCAAACTGATTCATAGGAGTATTTTCATTTCTTTGGTGTGCAGGTCTGTGTTTGGGGTTTTTATTACAATTATTATTGTAGAAGAGGTTTCAGTTGAAAGTTCAGAAAAAATATTCGTAAGTGGTTTCTGTTTGAGTTCAGTAGATCATCCAGGGATTCCTGATTTACTTCAGTTCAATCTCCATGTATTTGTGTCTGTTGCATATATGGACGTGTCTGTACCAAGTATGTGCATAGTCACAGATATTCATCTTGATTTTTGTCCAAGCTCACCTCACCCTTTGTCTAAGCACTCAGCTCCTGATTGTTGAAAGATACCTCTGGGTGCACAGGAAAGTCTAAACTTCATAGAGAGAGAAGCAGCTTCCCATGGCTGAGTGGGAAGGCCCCCAGGAAGAGCCTCCTGGGATGAAAAGGCTCCCAGATATCCAGCTATCTCCTGGGCCAGCACTTTCCCACATACTGCTCAGGCAGTTTATGACTAGCTGCTGCTAATCCCCCCATCACACCTCTTCCTGGGTTATTTCAACAGATATCTGAGTACCTATTATGAGCCAGTCTCTATTCTACGAGCCAAAACTCAACACTGAACAAGAGATACACATTTCTTGCTCCAGCCACACATCACAGTGTTCTTCCCTGAGATACCTACCTCTTGAGTTATCATAATTTTCAAGAATGGAACAGGATAGATAATAGACATTTATTTAAATTTTTGAATGATAAGGTTTGCCACCTTACCTGATATTCATTATTAAATAAGATGATTCCAAGAAAGAAAGACCCTGAAATGCACCTAAATTGCAGGTGATCTTTGGGAGGTGTTTAGTCTATACCATGTTTATATCAAGTATAAGATTTACATTTACCTGCAAGAATTATGGCATGTTAAAAGAGCCTGTGTGAATAAATACGTAGCAGATTTGGAGAAAAAGTGAGTTTTGCTTTATTATAAATCTATTCTTCTTCATTCCATTATTCAAAAAATATTTGTTAAGCCATTTCTCTGAGCCAGGCACTTGTTCAGATAAATAGGTAAGTATTGTATATCTCGGGCTTTAATACAAATGTTTTAATATTCATTACCTGAAATGGTACACAGAATTATCCTGTGCTGAAGACAAAGCAAAGCTACTATTCTTATTAATATTCCAATCATGGTCCTGAGTACCCAGAGTCAAGGTTTCAAAATGCCCTTCTCAATATTGCATAGCTGATGAGCAGTGTTGTTACCAGGCAGAGATTAAGAACACCGAGACTGGGCCAGGCGTGGTGGCTCACGCCTGTAATCCCAGCACTTTGGGAGGCCGAGGCATGTGGATCACGAGGTCAGGAGTTTGAGACCAGCCTGACCAACATGGTGAAACCCCATCTCTACTAAAAATACAAAAATTAGCCAGGCATGGTGGTGCGCCCCTGTAATCCCAGCTACTCGGGAGGCTAAGGCAGGCGAATTGCTTGAATCCGGGAGGCGGAGGTTGCAGTGAGCCGAGATCACGCCACTGCACTCCAGCCTGAGTGACAGAGTGAGACTCTGTCTCAAAAAAAAGAACACCGAGACTAGAGTTCTACTACTTGGGATCAAGTCCATCCTCTGCTGTGTGACCTTAGGCAAGTGATAACATCTCTGTGCCTTAGTTTCCTCATTAGTAAACAGAAAGAATAATAGTTCCTACCTCATTGGGTTGTTACTGTTATGAGAATTAAATAAAATAATGCCAGTTAGACACTTAGAACAGTGTCTGGCAGCTGTTGAGTGCTTAATAAGCCTTCACCATTATCGTCAAACTCAGTCTTCTGGTGCCAAAGCCTCTATCTGCTGCCTGTGTCCATAACTCCTGCCTGATTCCACTTTGCTCAGGGTTTTTCCTCCCTCAGATCAGAGGCATTAATATTTCAAACTCTCAAATTCCACTGGAAATTCTGACTGAGCTCATCAAAACTATTATGACAAAAGCCTTAAGACTGGTGGACATGAACCAGTACAGTCACCAGTTTTTCACTTTCCATATGAAAAACAGTTATATTTTCCAAGTCAAGCCAGTCTCCCTCATGGAAATTAAACCACCTTGGATTCTGGTAAGCTTGATATTCTTTTTATTAAAGCACTAAATTTGTCTTTATATAACAGAGGGAAAACTTGCCTCCCAGAACTAATACATGTTTTAATATCCATACCGATAATAATTCCTTAAGAATATTTTTAAATTTAGTTTAGTTTGGTTGAGGAGAACTTCTGTGATTTTTGTTTTCACACACGGATCCCTTAGACAGTAGTTGGTCAATCAACACACATTTCCTGAGCATTTGTCTTATGCTGAACCCTGAAATAAATACTGGAGCTACAAAGATAAGTAAGAAGTGGTTCCTGACATCATGAACCAAGGGAAATTGGAGAGGCAGCTGCCCTCTGAATGAGTATCCACGTGTTCTTATGAGTTACCTTGTTTGAAGAAATCTTATTTGGAAATGAACATTTTGAAAATGCATGCTGAGCTCACCTACTTCCATACTTTATGCAAGTTGAAGGTGCCAAGAAGCTGATCAATCTCACAGATGCTATGAGGATGGAGAAAACTGAGTCTGTTCTATCAATAAGGTCACAGAACTGGGGGAAACTCTGCAGCTTCCAATTCAGAATGGGGAGACACTTTGGCCAGGTTGAAAGCCTATGAGATTGGCAGAATGTCCAGCAGTAGAGTCCTCAGGCCCAAGATTCGTATTCTTTTGGCAAAATAGCAACTTCCTACTTCAGAATAAACAGTCTTAAAAGGCTTATGGAAATGGTTCTGAGGGATGGTTCACTATCCAAAAGCTCTTACAAAAGGTTTCAATAAGTTAAGTGTGAAAGAAGCAGAAACAGATGGATTGTTTCTCACAGAATACCCAGGGCTTAACAATTAACAATAACAAAAACAAGTTTTAAAAAGGGAAACCATGTATGGCCATTGTCCAAGTTTGAGCCCTTGAATGAGGGTTGGAATGTTCTGCCAGACACCTAACTCTGTGGGGTCCTTTATTATCTACCATACCAAAACTATGAGCTTTAAATGAAGTTAGGTTTGTATACTGCTGCGGCCTTCTCTAGAATATGAACCATTGGAAATGCAGCCAGACACCCCTTAGTTATGCAGATCTGTTTCCCAGTATATGCTCCACAGATCACTTGTTCTATGATGTGCAAGCCCCCATACCATTGTTCAGGCCATCCTCTCTGCCAAGGAGTATCTCTGCTGAATTAACCCCTCATGTCCCTCAAGGCTTACCTCCAATGCCAACTTCTTGGAGACATTTTCTTTGTCCCTCTCTCAGCCAGGTCCTCCACCCAACCTGACAACTGCCCTTCCTGTTGGGTGACTCCAGACAGCTGGACCAAAGCAAAACCCTAGTTGTCCACAACCCAAAGAACGAGCAAAAGCCAGTTAGCACCTTTGAGAACTAAGTCTGCACTCCAGTACCACACCACTGCACAACTCCAGGGGACATTGTTAATTTTGTATTCAATGAGAATGGCATCCTCCCTAGCAAAAAACAATGTGCATAATAATGACTTCTGGGGATGGGAAAAAAGGCAGCCCTGCTGCACTCATCTGTGGCCCTGCCTCCCCACACTTAACAATGTGTGCCAATAGCCATGCTACCCAGGACACTGCAAAGGCAGACACATACACTATAGTTTGAAGTGGAGAGAAAAGTAGAACGCCGTGGCTTTTATGGGAGAAACCAAAACATGGAATGGTCTATATGGTCCAGATTTAATGTTTCCCAAAGTGTATTCGGCAGATTGTTTGAAGTGTTGGACAAAAATAAGATTATCTGGTCAAATTAATTTGGAATTTCTTCTGAATGTCTTAAAAGCATGCAATATGTTGCTTTGTATCACTAACTTCCAAAGTGGAAGTGAAGAGAGAATAACTGGTTCAGTAGTTCCCAAACTCATTTGACCAAAGAACCTATCTTCATAAAGCAGCATTGTGGCTTTCTGAGAAACACATAAAGGAAGAAAAAGATATGGTTTTCTGCCTCTTTTTAAACAAATGGCATAGTGTCCCACCTCAATCTTATGCCCTCACTTGGAGCCCATAATAGTTTTTCTGCACCAATTGTCCTTAATGTGAGAGGTCCATGGATGAGTCCCAGAAGGTTTGTGAATGCCCTGAAATTGCATGCAAAATTATATTCACTGATGTATTCTTGGGAGACAGGCCTTCAGATCTGAGGAGAATTCAAGACTCCAAACTAAGGCAAATTCTCTACCAAATCCTTCTTCATTACTTTGGAACAATATGGGCGAAGGAGAAAGGGAATTATTTTCATGCCCAGGTAAATGGGGGCACATAAACAAACTCAAGAACACAAATGTTTATCTAATAAACATTTATTAATTAAACATCCCCGGGTCAGTAACGATGTGGGTGATGTTCCTAATTTGGTCCAGAGTCTTTTTCTAGGAAGAGTGTGAAATTTTCACTTTGTAAGGACTGGTTTGGCATCTAGCATTGCAATGAGAATTCTAGTTTCCAAGGCTCTCACCCTCCACCATTCCTACGTCATTCCAGCTGGCTGGCAAGGGCATAGATGGCAAATCCATTGCAGGGGCTCCAGATGCCTCCAGGCATCACAGAAGTGGGTCTCATTGTACAGAAAAAGGATCCAAGATAAAACGAGCAAGTTCAAAAGATCAAGATGCATTTTCATTGATCTTGGACTTGTAAGAGCAGTGCCATCAATCACAGTCATTTAAAAATTCCTATTAATGGCCCAGAGTGCTGGGGTTCCCATATGGTTTGTCTTTATAACATTTGGTCTTGGGCATCTCTTTAGAATCAGCATGAGAATCTGTCAGTGTCAGATTCAGACCTTTGCCTGCTTCCTCACTCCTGGCAGTAGTGGAAGGGAGAAAAGGAAGAACATGTGCTTAAATATGTGCTTCGGGACAATGGAGATTTGGGGTTCAGCTATGGAGCCAGAGGACTGACAATACCTTGCCCCCGGGAGAAAGCAGGGGCTAAAACAAGATTGACCCAAGTCAATGAGAAAGTCCTAGGACAGGTCCTGGAACCATAGTGAGGAAGCAGCAAGTCTGGAAAAAAATTCTGCCCCAGCTCCTCCATGCAAGATATTCTGGTGGCACCAGGGGCAGGGCTGACCCTGATGTCCCCCAGTGGAGAAGCAGTGGGTATTTGAGGGACTGTGTATGTAGAACAAATCAATAGGAACTGAGAGAGCACCAGGAAGCAGGGTTGTAAGGGAAAAGGCCTTCCGAAAATCCAGGCTTGGCTGGGCGCGGTGGCTCTTGCCTGTAATTCCAGCACTTTGGGAGGCCGAGGCGGGTAGATCATTAGGTTAGGAGTTTGAGACCAGCCTGATCAACATGGTGAAACCCTGTCTCTACTAAAAATACAAAAATTAGCCGGGTGTAGTGGCACATGCCTGGAATCCCAGCTACTCAGGAGGCTGAGGCAGGAGAATCGCTTGAACCCGGGAGGCAAAGGTTGCAGTGAGCCAAGATCACACCATTGAACTCCAGCCTAGGCAACAGAGCAAGACTCTGCCTCAAAAAAAAAAAAAAAAGGAACAAAGAAAGGAAGAAAGAAAGAAAGAAAGAAAGAAAGAAAGAAAGAAAGAAAGGAAGGAAGGAAGGAAGGAAGGAAGAAAGAAAGAAAGAAAAAGAAAGAAAATCCAACCTTGCATTATCTAGTATGAAAGCCACTAGTGACATGTGACAGTTGAGGACGTGAAATAGTATGAATTTGAAATGTGCTATATGTGTGAAATACACATCAGATTCAAAGGCTTGGTGTGAAAAAAATTATAAAATATACCATTAATAATTTTATATGGATTACATGTTAAAATGATTTTTTAATTTTTAGTTGACAAATAATAATTGTATATATTTATGAGGTAGAATGCAATGTTATGATACATGTATACAGGGGAGGAGCCAAGATGGCCGAATAGGAACAGCTCCGGTCTACAGCTCCCAGCGTGAGCGACGCAGAAGACGGGTGATTTCTGCATTTCCATCTGAGGTACCGGGTTCATCTCACTAGGGAGTGCCAGACAGTGGGCGCAGGCCAGTGTGTGTGCGCACCGTGCGCGAGCCGAAGCAGGGCGAGGCATTGCCTCACCTGGGAAGCGCAAGGGGTCAGGGAGTTCCCTTTCCGAGTCAAAGAAAGGGGTGACGGACGCACCTGGAAAATCGGGTCACTCCCACCCAAATATTGCGCTTTTCAGACCGGCTTAAGAAACGGCGCACCACGAGACTATATCCCACACCTGGCTCAGAGGGTCCTACGCCCACGGAATCTCGCTGATTGCTAGCACAGCAGTCTGAGATCAAACGGCAAGGCGGCAACGAGGCTGTGGGAGGGGCGCCCGCCATTGCCCAGGCTTGCTTAGGTAAACAAAGCAGCCGGGAAGCTCGAACTGGGTGGAGCCCACCACAGCTCAAGGAGGCCTGCCTGCCTCTGTAGGCTCCACCTCTGGGGGCAGGGCACAGACAAACAAAAAGACAGCAGTAACCTCTGCAGACTTAAGTGTCCCTGTCTGACAGCTTTGAAGAGAGCAGTGGTTCTCCCAGCACGCAGCTGGAGATCTGAGAACGGGCAGACTGCCTCCTCAAGTGGGTCCCTGACCCCTGACCCCCGAGCAGCCTAACTGGGAGGCACCCCCCAGCAGGGGCACACTGACACCTCACACAGCAGGGTATTCCAACAGACCTGCAGCTGAGGGTCCTGTCTGTTAGAAGGAAAACTAACAACCAGAAAGGACATCTACACCGAAAACCCATCTGTACATCACCATCATCAAAGACCAAAAGTAGATAAAACCACAAAGATGGGGAAAAAACAGAACAGAAAAACTGGAAACTCTAAAACGCAGAGCGCCTCTCCTCCTCCAAAGGAACGCAGTTCCTCACCAGCAACAGAACAAAGCTGGATGGAGAATGATTTTGACGAGCTGAGTGAAGAAGGCTTCAGACGATCAAATTACTCTGAGCTACGGGAGGACATTCAAACCAAAGGCAAAGAAGTTGAAAACTTTGAAAAAAATTTAGAAGAATGTATAACTAGAATAACCAATACAGAGAAGTGCTTAAAGGAGCTGATGGAGCTGAAAACCAAGGCTCGAGAACTACGTGAAGAATGCAGAAGCCTCAGGAGCCGATGCGATCAACTGGAAGAAAGGGTATCAGCAATGGAAGATGAAATGAATGAAATGAAGCGAGAAGGGAAGTTTAGAGAAAAAAGAATAAAAAGAAATGAGCAAAGCCTCCAAGAAATATGGGACTATGTGAAAAGACCAAATCTACGTCTGATTGGTGTACCTGAAAGTGATGTGGAGAATGGAACCAAGTTGGAAAACACTCTGCAGGATATTATCCAGGAGAACTTCCCCAATCTAGCAAGGCAGGCCAACGTTCAGATTCAGGAAATACAGAGAACGCCACAAAGATACTCCTCGAGAAGAGCAACTCCAAGACACATAATTGTCAGATTCACCAAAGTTGAAATGAAGGAAAAAATGTTAAGGGCAGCCAGAGAGAAAGGTCGGGTTACCCTCAAAGGAAAGCCCATCAGACTAACAGCGGATCTCTCGGCAGAAACCCTACAAGCCAGAAGAGAGTGGGGGCCAATATTCAACATTCTTAAAGAAAAGAATTTTCAACCCAGAATTTCATATCCAGCCAAACTAAGCTTCATAAGTGAAGGAGAAATAAAATACTTTATAGACAAGCAAATGCTGAGAGATTTTGTCACCACCAGGCCTGCCCTAAAAGAGCTCCTGAAGGAAGCGCTAAACATGGAAAGGAACAACCGGTACCAGCCGCTGCAAAATCATGCCAAAATGTAAAGACCATCGAGACTAGGAGGAAACTGCATCAACTAATGAGCAAAATCACCAGCTAACATCATAATGACAGGATCAAATTCACACATAACAATATTAACTTTAAATATAAATGGACTAAATTCTGCAATTAAAAGACACAGACTGGCAAGTTGGATAAAGAGTCAAGACCCATCAGTGTGCTGTATTCAGGAAACCCATCTCACGTGCAGAGACACACATAGGCTCAAAATAAAAGGATGGAGGAAGATCTACCAAGCAAATGGAAAACAAAAAAAGGCAGGGGTTGCAATCCTAGTCTCTGATAAAACAGACTTTAAACCAACAAAGATCAAAAGAGACAAAGAAGGCCATTACATAATGGTAAAGGGATCAATTCAACAAGAGGAGCTAACTATCCTAAATATTTATGCACCCAATACAGGAGCACCCAGATTCATAAAGCAAGTCCTGAGTGACCTACAAAGAGACTTAGACTCCCACACATTAATAATGGGAGACTTTAACACCCCACTGTCAACATTAGACAGATCAACGAGACAGAAAGTCAACAAGGATACCCAGGAATTGAACTCAGCTCTGCACCAAGCAGACCTAATAGACATCTACAGAACTCTCCACCCCAAATCAACAGAGTATACATTTTTTTCAGCACCACACCACACCTATTCCAAAATTCACCACATAGTTGGAAGTAAAGCTCTCCTCAGCAAATGTAAAAGAACAGAAATTATAACAAACTATCTCTCAGACCACAGTGCAATCAAACTAGAACTCAGGATTAAGAATCTCACTCAAAGCCGCTCAACTCCATGGAAACTGAACAACCTGCTCCTGAATGACTACTGGGTACATAACGAAATGAAGGCAGAAATAAAGATGTTCTTTGAAACCAACGAGAACAAAGACACCACATACCAGAATCTCTGGGACGCATTCAAAGCAGTGTGTAGAGGGAAATTTATAGCACTAAATGCCTACAAGAGAAAGCAGGAAAGATCCAAAATTGACACCCTAACATCACAATTAAAAGAACTAGAAAAGCAAGAGCAAACACATTCAAAAGCTAGCAGAAGGCAAGAAATAACTAAAATCAGAGCAGAACTGAAGGAAATAGAGACACAAAAAACCCTTCAAAAAATCAATGAATCCAGGAGCTGGTTTTTTGAAAGGATCAACAAAATTGATAGACCGCTAGCAAGACTAATAAAGAAAAAAAGAGAGAAGAATCAAATAGACACAATAAAAAATGATAAAGGGGATATCACCACCGATCCCACAGAAATACAAACTACCATCAGAGAATACTACAAACACCTCTACGCAAATAAACTAGAAAATCTAGAAGAAATGGATACATTCCTTGACACATACACTCTCCCAAGACTAAACCAGGAAGAAGTTGAATCTCTGAATAGACCAATAACAGGCTCTGAAATTGTGGCAATAATCAATAGTTTACCAACCAAAAAGAGTCCAGGACCAGATGGATTCACAGCCGAATTCTACCAGAGGTACAAGGAGGAGCTGGTACCATTCCTTCTGAAACTATTCCAATCAATAGAAAAAGAGGGAATCCTCCCTAACTCATTTTATGAGGCCAGCATCATTCTGATACCAAAGCCGGGCAGAGACACAACAAAAAAAGAGAATTTTAGACCAATATCCTTGATGAACATTGATGCAAAAATCCTCAATAAAATACTGGCAAACCAAATCCAGCAGCACATCAAAAAGCTTATCCACCATGATCAAGTGGGCTTCATCCCTGGGATGCAAGGCTGGTTCAATATACGCAAATCAATAAATGTAATCCAGCATATAAACAGAGCCAAATACAAAAACCACATGATTATCTCAATAGATGCAGAAAAAGCCTTTGACAAAATTCAACAACCCTTCATGCTAAAAACTCTCAATAAATTAGGTATTGATGGGACGTATTTCAAAATAATAAGAGCTATCTATGACAAACCCACAGCCAATATCATACTGAATGGGCAAAAACTGGAAGCATTCCCTTTGAAAACTGGCACAAGACAGGGATGCCCTCTCTCACCGCTCCTATTCAACATAGTGTTGGAAGTTCTGGCCAGGGCAATCAGGCAGGAGAAGGAAATAAAGGGTATTCAATTAGGAAAAGAGGAAGTCAAATTGTCCCTGTTTGCAGATGACATGATTGTTTATCTAGAAAACCCCATCGTCTCAGCCCAAAATCTCCTTAAGCTGATAAGCAACTTCAGCAAAGTCTCAGGATACAAAATCAATGTACAAAAATCACAAGCATTCTTATACACCAACAACAGACAAAGAGAGAGCCAACTCATGAGTGAACTCCCATTCACAATTGCTTCAAAGAGAATAAAATACCTAGGAATCCAACTTACAAGGGATGTGAAGGACCTCTTCAAGGAGAACTACAAAACACTGCTCAACGAAATAAAAGAAGACACAAACAAATGGAAGAACATTCCATGCTCATGGGTAGGAAGAATCAATATCGTGAAAATGGCCATACTGCCCAAGGTAATTTACAGATTCAATGCCATCCCCATCAAGCTACCAATGACTTTCTTCACAGAATTGGAAAAAACTACTTTAAAGTTCATATGGAACCAAAAAAGAGCCCGCATCGCCAAGTCAATCCTAAGCCAAAAGAACAAAGCTGGAGGCATCACACTACCTGACTTCAAACTATACTACAAGGCTACAGTAACCAAAACAGCATGGTACTGGTACCAAAACAGAGATATAGATCAATGGAACAGAACAGAGCCCTCAGAAATAATGCCGCATATCTACAACTATCTGATCTTTGACAAACCTGAGAAAAGCAAGCAATGGGGAAAGGATTCCCTATTTAATAAATGGTGCTGGGAAAACTGGCTAGCCATATGTAGAAGGCTGAAACTGGATCCCTTCCTTACACCTTATACAAAAATCAATTCAAGATGGATTAAAGATTTAAACGTTAGACCTAAAACCATAAAAACCCTAGAAGAAAACCTAGGCATTACCATTCAGGACATAGGCGTGGGCAAGGACTTCATGTCCAAAACACCAAAAGCAATGGCAACAAAAGCCAAAATTGACAAATGGGATCTAATTAAACTCAAGAGCTTCTGCACAGCAAAAGAAACTACCATCAGAGTGAACAGGCAACCTACAACATGGGAGAAAATTTTCGCAACCTACTCATCTGACAAAGGTCTAATATCCAGAATCTACAATGAACTCAAACAAATTTACAAGAAAAAAACAAACAACCCCATCAAAAAGTGGGCGAAGGACATGAACAGACACTTCTCAAAAGAAGACATTTATGCAGCCAAAAAACACATGAAGAAATGCTCATCATCACTGGCCATCAGAGAAATGCAAATCAAAACCACTATGAGATATCATCTCACACCAGTTAGAATGGCAATCATTAAAAAGTCAGGAAACAACAGGTGCTGGAGAGGATGTGGAGAAATAGGAACACTTTTACACTGTTGGTGGGACTGTAAACTAGTTCAACCATTGTGGAAGTCAGTGTGGCGATTCCTCAGGGATCTAGAACTAGAAATACCATTTGACCCAGCCATCCCATTACTGGGTATATACCCAAAGGACTATAAATCATGCTGCTATAAAGACACATGCACACGTATGTTTATTGCGGCACTATTCACAATAGCAAAGACTTGGAACCAACCCAAATGTCCAACAATGATAGACTGGATTAAGCAAATGTGGCACATATACACCATGGAATACTATGCAGCCATAAAAAATGATGAGTTCATGTCCTTTGTAGGGACATGGATGAAATTGGAAACCATCATTCTCAGTAAACTATCGCAAGAACAAAAAACCAAACACCGCATATTCTCACTCATAGGTGGGAATTGAACAATGAGATCACATGGACACAGGAAGGGGAATATCACACTCTGGGGACTGTGGTGGGGTCGGGGGAGGGGGGAGGGATAGCATTGGGAGATATACCTAATGCTAGATGACACGTTAGTGGGTGCAGCGCACCAGCATGGCACATGTATACATATGTAACTAACCTGCACAATGTGCACATGTACCCTAAAGCTTAGAGTATAATAAAAAAAAAAATTAAAAAAAAAAAAATGATACATGTATACAATGTGGTATGATTAAATTAGGCTAATTAACATATCCTTCGCCTCACATACTTATCATTACGTTGTAATATATTTTCATATTGGGTAAAATTAAATGTATTACTAAATTGACTTATTCTTTTTTTACTTTTTTAATGCAGCTATTAAAATATTTAAGATCACATATGTGAGTCACAGTATATTTCTATTGGACAGCCCTATTCCAAAGCATGGCTATGTTAGTTTCCTAGGGCTACCCTGACAAAGTACCATAAGCTAGATGCCCTAAAACAACAGAAATGTATTCTCTCACAGTTCTGGAGGCCACAGGTCTGAAATAAAGATGTCAACAAGGTGGTCCCTCTGGAGTGCTCTGAAGAAGAATCTGCTCCAGGCCTCTCTCCTAGCTTTTGGTGGTTGTTGGCAATCCTTGGAGTTTTTTATTTGTAAATGCGTCAATCCAGTCCCTGCCTCCACTGTTTAATGGTATTCTTCTCAGTGTGTCTCTGTTTCTGTCTCTTCTCCTCTTTGTTTAAGGGCACCAGTCATGTCAGATTTAAGACCCACCCACCTCCAATATGATCAAAGATCCTACTTTCAACCAAGGCCACATTCTAAGGTTCTAGGAAAGATATAAATTTATACAACAGTATTCAAGCCAGTACAATGTCTAAACCTGTCCTTTTCAGGAAACAGGAGTCCAATCCTTGCCTCCATGGAGAAGACACATTTTCTCAGCCTTGAGTGGTGAGTTATGCCCGCTATGTCCCCTCACACACTCACCACAGATACTCTGAACTCCAAAGGAACTGCTGTCTAGTGAGGAGCTTGCTAAGGTAAAACACATTCAGGACTGGAATTAGGAAATGGGTTCTAGTCCTGGCTGCCTCATTAACCACCATAGTGGCCTTTAGCAGAAATACTAAACCTCTCTGAACCTCAGAGTTCCCTGTCTCTGCAATGGAAATACAAACCCCTGTACTTCCAAATTCACAAAATAGCTGTGAGGATTACATGGGATCATTGTAAAAGTGTATTAATAATCTATATACAATGTAAGTCTTTGTTACAGGCTGCTGCCAACTCCTGTCCTTTTGCTACACAAGACAAACAGGAGAATCACTTCGAAGGCTGGAGGACCTGAGATCTCTCAGCTTCTAGTACAGATGGACATGGACTCCTACAAAATCCTCCCTGCAGAACTCCCTGCCCCCAAAATTGTCCCTTTCAATCCAGTCTTCTCACTGTGGCCAGAGGATTATTTCCAAATTTTTGAAATCTAATCATGCCGTTTACTTTCTGCTTAAAAACTCTTACCAAAAAATATATATTGAAATAATAAATGATGCAGACCTTGCTTCTTCTGATCCAGGGACAGAAGAATGTTGGGGTGATCATCTAGTAGTCTTCCTCTGGTTGAGGCCCAAGGATTAGGAGTCAGGCAAAATAAACACCAGATCTTAGCTGATGGAAGATTGGTGAAATTGTATGATGTACAGAGTAGGAATTGGACACTATGCTATGTGGAATAAATGCAACCATTCAGAGGAAGCCCAGGACATCTAAGCCAACTGTGAGGCAGGTTCAGTCAGCTGGGCAAATAACAGCAACTTCGGCAAGACCATGTTCCAATGGCCCATCAAGGGATGAGGCTCAGAGGAAGCCTGAATTAGAAACATTTGCCTTTTCTCATTAGGCCCAAGAAAGTTATTCATTTTGTTTTTTCTAGACTGTTTTATTTGGCACATCTTGAGTGAAATGGCATTCTCTTTTCCCAAGGTGCTTGAAGCTGCTTGTTTGTTTTTGCAATTGGCCATTTTACAAGTAGGGGTCATGAGCACTCACACTGAGACCTGATGCCACCGGTGAGCACGTTATTCTGCTAAAACACAGGACTTGGGTAAGGTCAGCTGCATGGGAGATAGGCTGTGCTTGAGGATGGCAATGTATTTCCCACCTCTATCACTGATGGCTACTGTTTGTAGCTCTGCCAAGCAGTCTTCCAAAGTCCTCCTCCTTTGCGGTGCACAAGGATCCCTAAGTCAACTGTGAATTTGTTATTGATGCCTCTTGCATTCCCAACAACAGTCTCTATCAATGCCAACTTCTCCTTAAAAATCCCAATGCTCCAAGTCTCCCATCGAGTTAGCTCTGAAAGAAGCTAAGCTTATGTCTTCTAAGTAGGGTATCAGATGTCTTCAGTTTATTTTACACAGTCCTAGCTTCACTTGTACTGATATTAACAGTGCCTCTTTTTCTCTCAAAATTGTCCTTGCTTGGATGACAAATTATAAACACACCCTATTTTCAAACTATGTTTTTTAAACTGATATTAACAGTGCCTCTTTTTCTCTCAAAATTGTCCTTGCTTGGATGACCAATTATAAACACACCCTATTTTCAAACTATGTTTTCAAAAAGAGATGGTATCATTCTTTTTGAATGATACCATCAGAAGATGCCAGAGCAATATGTTTTCTTAGGCAATAAGTTTGGAAAACATCTCTCATTTTGTCTTAGAGAATCACAACTTATATTAGCAAATTAAGAGCTCTGAGAAGTCCCTGCATAAATATGTCTGCTTAACTTTGTTAGGCCCAATGTTCCCAATATTTATTAAACCACAGCCCTTGATTTTTGATAAACACGTATCAACACTTCCTTGGAAAACAGTTTGGAAAACACTTCCCTGAAATGTAAGAAACTCTATGTGCTTCTCCTCTCAGAATTTCAAAGAAATCCTTCCAAGAGAAGCATATAATCATCTGAAGGGTGGATAATACCCTCTGCAAATTATCCACATTGTTCATAACGATATTTTTTTATTAAAAATCAGACAACATGATCTGACCCATTGATCTGACATGGCCTAAAAATGAGACAAGATCTTTGAAATCAGGAGAGACCTAAACAAATCTAAGACATCTATATGTGGTCCTGCCTACATTCCTTTCATGGTAGACCTCAGGCCAGATTTTTTCAACCCCTCAGAGGGAGCTCTTACCACTAATATGTCCAGGCTTATCTCTGAAATCCTCCTGGGACAGTAAAGTGATACTGTTATTCCACCAGCCTTGCCTGCTCTACCATGCAGCAGTCAGCCACTAAAAGCCTGAGTGCTCAGGCACAAAGGCAGGCCACCTTCCATGGGGTCATTTGGTAGAGACCACCTTCCATAGGGTCATGGCAGCCCCCTCTTTGGTTCATGGGGTAAAGATATGACTGACTGGATCTCACCCACCCATCCTCTAATCTTTGCCATGAAAACAAACCACACCTTGTGTACTTCTGACAAATCTGAATTTGAAACAGAGTTAAAGCCTTATCCCATCGTGCAGTGCTCAGCATATAGGAGGCATCTGCAAACATCACAGGCTGAAAACTCTTACAGCCTAGAGAAATGGACATTTGTGTTTTCTTTACCATAAACCTAGGGTTTTTTCTGTCATATCTTTTATTTCTCCACTCAAAAGATCTATGCTAACGAAGTGTTTTTGGTTTTGAAAAATGTTTCCAACTTGTTACAGGCTTGGTCATGGTCTTACAAATCATCTTTAATATTTCTCCAAAATCTGAAATGATACTTAGTTAATATGCCAGTATCTTCCTCTTATAAAATAACTGTCCCATGACTCTCAGCAGGAAAAGTGAAATAGAATTGATTCTAAACACTTCCAGGTATAAACAGTGGATGATATAAATACTATAAGCCAGGAGTGGGCCTCTGACAATCCTTAAACTATTCTAATCTGTGGAATTATTTGATGACATTGATTTACCTCATCCTTAGTTCCAAGACATGGGTCCCCTTTGATCTTTGGGGAAAATTTTTCTTCTCACCCAAACTAGAGACTCAATCAAACACCACTCAAGAGTGACTTTATAGAGCTGGACAGTCCATTAAGCCATGCTGACTGTATCCTGGCCTTCTGAATATTATCAAAGAATAAACCCCTTATTGCTATGACTCATTCCTGTAGAAATTTCTGGAAAGAACATTGAATGTAGCTGAAAGTTAAAAAAAAAATTTTTTTTTTAAAGAATTCCCCATCTGGGTGCGGCGGCTCACACCTGTAATCCCAGCACTTTGGGAGGCCAAGGTGGGCAGATCACCTGAGGTCGGGTGACCACCCTGACCAACATGGAGATACCCCATCTCTACAAAAAAATATAAAAATTAGCTGGGCATGGTGACGCATGCCTGTAATCCCAGCTACTTAGGAGGCTGAGGCAGGAGAATTGCTTGAACTCAGCAGGCAGACATTGTGGTCAGCCAAGATTGCACCACTGCACTCCAGCCTGGGCAACAAGAGCGAAACTCCATCTCAAAACAAAACAAAACAAAACAAAAATGCCTGTATAACTTTATGAAAGAAGCAAGCATTGTTTCTCCGTGAAAGATGAAGACTGAGTATGGTCCACAGTTTGTTATACAAAGACAATGTTTACATTTCCACTGAGGCCAGACTAAGAGAACATGGACTAGGAAACTATTTGGTTCTGTGGAAAGACCCTGGGAGAGATATTCTGGACATGGGATGATTCATTCATTCACTTCTATTCATCAATCATTAATGAAAATCTACTGTGGTTTACATACCACAATACCCAGGCTTATGGAGACCAGCAAGGACAATTCCAGGCCTTTAAGCTCACAACCACTAGTAGGAAAGACAACACACAGTAGATAATGACTATATGTGAGTTAATACTGAGAAAGAGGAACGAGGCCCTGAGCAAGCTATTGACATTTCTCAGCAGCAGTTTTAAAAAGTAAGAGTTCCCCACATGAACAAAATAGACAGGTGTTAGAAATAGATAATCAGTGCCACGAAGAAATGTCAAAACGGAGACAAAAGATCTCTCAGCCAGGGAATCTTTACTTTCTGCAGAAAGGGTGCTCAATCACAGATGGAACAATGGTGAGAGCACACCTGAACAAAGGAAAAGCAGACATATTTATCCCTTACACATTTGGATGGTCCTGACTGCTGTGTCCTGCATCCATTGGCTGGGACTGGACCTCACAATCTTAAACTAATACCCGATTTGCTAATAACCTAAAACTTTCCTAAATAGGTAAGTGCAAGGAAGAACAAAGAAGGAGAGGAAGTTGCTCATGAAAGGTTTAAGGAAGCAATAACATTTCCAAATAAGGAAGGGGCGTAGGCTGTGAGCTGGAAAGTGTCTGTGAGCATGTCCAACAGTTACATAGGATAGGGCTTAACAAAGAGTTATTAGCACAAAGCAAGGAGGCTTGAAGTAAGTTAGTCTTTAAAAGAAACTATTATTTCTAACACTTATGATTTATTCTTTAACAAGAAGGGAAACTTTGAGGAGGAAACTTTTTACTTTCTACACACGGTATTCCAGGCCAGTTAAAAGACTCTGCAAAAGTGAATACATATAAAACAGTATGGCATTAGTTAGCACAAAGAACAAATGAGGAAGTGGTAAGAGATGAGGCTGGTGCTAGATTGCCCAAAGGCATAAGGGTGGACAATTGAGGTCCCTACCACTCAATAACTCTAAGACTCATGATCATTTTCCTTCAGGCTGTCACCAGCTTATGTGCCATGAAATGATAGAGTAGCTCTTATTAACCATGTCAAAAGCTCAAAGTGAAAGGTCAAATCCAAGCGGGAATGAGGACAATGCTGATGGATTTCCCTGCCTAGTTTAAAAGGATCCGTATGCTCACTGGAAACTAGCTGCACTAAGGGCCAGGATAATGTGCACGTATGCCTCACACTGCTTACAAAGAGGCTTATCTAGGTTTTTCCAGACAAATAGATATTTGACCTGACAGAAGATGTCCCCAGCCACAGGAGGAATCACATTGGTTTTTTTTGTCTGGCACCCTTAAAGAGGCAATTTGGATCTGAAGCCTCCACAGGCTTCATCTGGTTAAGTGAAGTGAGTATGGGCTTCTGGTGGCCCATGATGAATGTTTGCCCCATACTTGAAGACAGCAGCACTCCTCAGGAGAGCAGGCTGCCCCAAAAACTGAGCCCATAACTAATTTAGTAAGTATGGCTTTATACTGCTGGACAGAAAAGGCAGCAGGGCCTGTACTTTTCCATGAGGTAAACCCCTTCATGTCTTTAGATGAAGCCTAGGTATCCAGCACCAGAAACACAGGACCTGGGAGGGAACTGCTACAGGCACATCCTGCCCTTTGCCCCTTGTTTTCCCATAAACATTATTGGATCTCTTGGGCCCAGAAGTCTCTGTTTTTGTTTAATATGCAAGATGACTTCAAAAGATAGCCAGAGGTCATTTCTACTGCATTGAGAGCCTCTGAAAGCTAGGGCTTTCTTTTCTACATTACCTCTCGGAACTATCAAGTTTTAGAATTTATTCTTCTAGAAAACGTCCCACAAGCTCAATTTGATTGCCCCATATTGACGATTCTGTTACCAGGGCTAGGTTCATGAGTTTCACACTCAGGAAGTCCCATCGTTTAATGCTCTGCCATTGTCATCTTGAAATGCTCAATAAATTTGAACAAGGAGACCCACATTTTCACTTTGCACTATCCTGCATAAGATGTAGTGATCCTGACTGCAACCAATAAAAATATACCTCTGGCTTCGGAGTAACACTTTTTTTTTACGTTTTCAAAGGGCATTCACACTTGTTATCTCATCTGGATCCTCACAATAAAGCATCCAGAAAAGGAGAGAAAGTGGAAGAAAAGACAAAATCATGAAGTTAGAAGAAAGCTGGGTTCCAATCCAGGCTCTGCGATGATTAGTTATGTGAACTTGAGCTAGTTATTTAATTTCTCTGAACACGGGCTTCCTCTTCTGTAAGACAGCACCTAGAACGTTTAAATTGGTAAGATAATTATGTGAAATCGTGTATGTCTCCTTCTGTCATGGAGACGTAACTGAATAAACCTCGGTTCCCCTTTGCTCTTCTAGCTTCTCTTTCTGTCCCCCATTTCTCCCAATTTGCAAGATATAAAAGGTAAAGCTGAGCCATTTAGACAATCTGCCAATTGTGTTATTCTGGATCCTATAAAAAGCAGAAGTCAACTTGGGATTAAATGTGCAAAGATTTTATTAGAGGAAACGGCTCTGTGAGAGAAAAGGGAGAAAGATGGGAGACTCAGACCAGGAAGCAAGTCTGACCCGGAGTGAAGAAGAGAATGAGACGGTTGGGTGGAAGAGCCCTAGACTGCTGTGCCATCTAAGAAAAAGATTCGAGGAGGCTGTTGGGGCCTCTTTGAGCCAGCCAGAGTCAGCTCCCAGCCCCTACATCTCCCAGGAACGGTCCTGCCTCAGAATCCCAGCCGTGCTCACCCTTGGCTGCAGCACACATGGGAGGTGTGGCCTTGGCGTGAAGGAGATTTCAGGAGCAGTATCTAGGCCCTTGGTCATTTTCCCTGTATTCGCAAGTCCTTAGGGTGCATTTTCATGACCACCACATGGAACTTCACATGGAGTTAATAACAAAACCAGATCCACCCTTGACTCTTACCCGCAAGGAATTCAATTATCCCAGCCTCTTCCTGTGTGAAGTTGTTCTTCAGCCATTGTTTCCCCCAAAAGCAGAACAATGTTCTCTGCTGAAGATGCCTCTGTCCTGTCTCTTTGAGGAAGTGAAGCTTTTCCCCCAGAATGCTTCTTTCGCTGCGCAAATCAGCTCTACCGGGTTTTTGGAGCCCCGGAGAGGAGACTCATTCAATCAGCCAAATTTCCACAACCCCCATCCTGTAAAACGTTAAGGGTGATTCTGAGAAAATTGCCCAAAAGTTAGGTATCTTTTGGCTGTTGTGGTCTCTGAAGTAATTTTTAAATTAAAAAAAAAAGAAAGAAAGAAAAAGAGAGATGGAGGTGAGGGAAAAAGAGCACTTTCACATCCATTGCAATATTGACACATTACTCTGAAAAGTGGATGAAGATAGGGCAGGTCATCTTATTATACTCATGTTTTAAATGTGGAAACCGAGTTCTGGAACATTTAAACCACTCGCCTAAGGTTTCATAGCTCATGGAAGGGAGAGCTGGAACTCCTGCCCACGCCTTCCGCCCTCCTCCGGTAGGACTCAGTCTACACAACACCAGTAAAGTCCATCATTTGAATCATAGAAAATGTTAGTCAGTTCAGCAAATTGTTATTCTAGCAGCTCCATGCCCCGCCCCTCCTTCCAGCTCCATCCACTTCCTCTCAAGCTCTCTTAGGGCTCTAGAGCCCAGGATACCTAACTACTGCCAACATTTGTGGGTGAGAGCTTTTTTAAAAAAAAAAATCACACAAACTTAATCAAGAATTAAGAAAAAAAAACAACAAACTTAATCAAGTACAAAAAAAACACAAACTTAAGAGCAAGCAGATGGTGGGCAGAGAAGAAGGGGAAGGAAGAAGGGAATAAGAATTCCAGTCTAATAAAAATTTATCTAAATAAAGGAATGTTTTAAAATTAAATTAAATTTTACTATGTTGTTTTCACGTAAGTGAGGCATTAGTAGAAACTCCTCAAAGATTTGCCTTAAGGAACAAAATGATGTATATGTTTCTCATTCATTCAAATGTCCCTAATTTAGTTTCTAATCTTTAGAATAGGGTCTGAAATTTAGTTTGCATTTGTAATACAATATTAAGAAAGATGGACTAAACCAATTAGTGAGAAAAAAATAAGAATATGTGGAAATTTGCTTGTAACCTTCTTGAATGAAAAACGACAACCATTTACCCCATTTAAAAGCACTGATTTATTTGCCAGAAAAGCACATACAAAATATCAGGATTAGTCACTAAAAATAGATCCAAAAAGGAGGTGATATTAATCCAGTTCAAAATAATAGAATAAAACTAAATTTATTTTTAATAGTATTTTATTCATTCTTAATACCTAATTCAGACCAGCTTGTTTATATCCTACTTCCTCTTTACCACCACCCCCACAACTTCACACTTACACACCCTGCCCAGTACATCTAAATTAAAGAAATTTTACTGTGTTCAAATGGTAAATTTGTAGAAGACTGTTTCCAGCCATAATGCCAAGTAAGAAAGCAGAGCCCCATGGCAAAAGTTTAAAGTACAGATAGTGTCTTTTTATCCCACAAAATCATAGAACAGATGCTTCTACCCAATTTGGGAGTTCCTTCAACAATATCCATAAGAGGTACTCCTTTTGCCTGCATAGGAACATTTTTTTTCTTTCAAATTTTTATTTAACATCAAGGGGTTTAGGTGCAAGTTTGTTACATGGGTAAATTGTGTCTCATGGGGTTTGGTGTACAGATAATTTTGTCACCCAAGTAATCAGCATAATACCCAATAGGTAGTTTTTCAATTCTCTTGCTCCCCTAACCCGACACCCTCAAATGCGTCCCAGTGTCCATGTGTACTCAATGTTTAGTCCCCACTAATAAGTGAGAATATACCGTATTTGGTTTTCTGTTCCTGCATTAATTCACTTAGGATAATGGCCTCCAGTTCCATGCACATTGCTTCAAAGGACATGATCTCATTTTTTAATAGTTGCATAGTATTCCATAGTGTATATGTACCATATTTCTGGGTTTTATCCAGTTCACTATTGATGGGCATCTAGATTGGTTCAAAGAGTTCTTACCAATGCCAGGAATCATGGCTGTTAATAGAATGCCCCTAGCTTCCAGAAAATAATTTCAAGTCAAGTTGAAATCAACTCATCAACCATTTGAAAGATATTTATCATAGCATCCATGTCATCTTATCCTTTCCAGGTTATATATAAACAGTTCCCTCAAACTTACTATGAAGATCCTATTTCATGTATAGAGATCCCATGAAATACCTATGAAGATCCCATTGCTTTGAAATATGTTACTTGCCATTATTTTTCTTTAAGTATAATACACAGCTCTGGACTGTGCCACCATTGAATCTGTTTTTCTCCTTCTTCAAAATGGGGCTAGTAGTATTTTCTACCTCATAGGTGTATGTTGAACATTAAAAGAAATAGCACCAATTCCTGTTCATTTATGCCTGGTAAAAACAGTTTGTTTTTACCAGCATCTGTGCTCTGCTCATCCTCTTGGGCACCCTGGAGTCCACGTTCCAGCCTCCCTTGTAGTTAGAAGAGACCATATGACTGACTTCCAGGAAGGGAAGGTGGGCCTAAGGATATATACCACTTTCAGACTAAGTCTGACATTGTGTGTGTGCTTTTCTGGCAAATAAATCAGTGCTTTTACATGGAGTAAATGGTTGTTTTTCATGCAAGAAGGTTAAAAGCAAATTTCCACATATTCTTATTTTTTCCCCACTAATTGGTTTAGTCCATCTTTTTTGTGTGTGATCCTCCCTCCCTTTCTTCATCTGCCTACTGAATGGAAACAGCTCCAAGGACTTACAGGAGGATGGAGCTACAAAATTAAAAAAACTTGAGTCTCCGCATGACTGCATTTCTTCACCCCCATCTCTCCCTTGACCCATGGTATGCAACAGGGGCAAGAATAAAATTTTACTATATTAAGTCACTGAGATTTTAAAGTTCTTTCAGCCCTTAGTCTAATGCTGCTATGTATATTAAGCTAATACTTCCATGGAAAAACCGTGTCAGGTAGAGAAATGCTCCATAAATATTAGCTACCATTACCACTAACAGCACCTCTATCACCACTGCTACTATTGCCACTACCATACACATAGTCTGATGGGAGTCTACTGTATTCTCTTACTTAATCTGGTCACTTCAGCCTAGAATTGAACCCGCTATTTTAAGAATCACAACATACTTTGACTTGCATTGAAATTCCAGTCAACAACTCCACAAAGAAAGAGAAAAACAGATTTATTTTCACTTGTGCTTTTTCAACATAGTTCTCCCCTTTTTCTGTACATTCTAAACATTTTGGAATTCAAAAGTAAAAATAAATACACACCTCTGTTAAGTTCGCTAATTTTAATTACTGACGCATTTTGAAGACTGTTAACATATTTTTCATCTTGATCCCCTTGTTCAGTGTCTTATTTTCTTCTCTCAGTGATAATATGTTACAAATTTTTCTGATATGCAATCTACTTCTCCTAAATTGCTAACAAAGATTTTGGTGAAGATAAGGCTAAGTACAAAATCCACTGTAGTGTAGCTCTGGGGGCTCCCTCGAGAATTTAGAGTGGTCAGCTCATTAACAGTATTTCAGTTCTACAAGCTTGGACTGTATTGTCTTTCGGTCCATGACTCACCATTTTATCCCCAAAATATCTTAAAATTTTTGTCAAATGTCCCATCCATAGTATGATTTGCTATGTGATAGCATTATCCTTACCAATTAGCTCAGTATTCTGACATAAAGATAAAATGGTATTTGCTTGAAATAATTGTTTCTTAATGATCCTGGGCTGACTCCTTGACATCACTGCTGTCTTTTCCAAGTACTCTCAAGTCATCTGCTTACTAATACATTTCAGAATATTTCCTGGGTTTCACATCAAGTCTATAGCATTTAAAATTTCTTCCTCCCAACTTCTCTTTCAAAATAATGATGTTTGCCCTTCTCCAATTCTTCCAGGACTTCTCTCAATATCCATGTTCTTAACAATTACCAACCATTTCCTCATCTCATCTATACATTTCTCTAGTGCCCACATATTTAGATTCATCTGGGAAGAATTGAGCTTAACGAAATCTGGAGCACCACTCCCTGAGGCACAGAAAGCACTTGCAGCTACAAAATACTGTAACCATGACTGCAAATCATCCCAGCAACAGGTTGGGAAACTTTATCTCCTTTATGGAGCATCTCCAATCTGGAAAGCCTGCATGTCCGCCCAGCTTTGTGCTGAGGGTCTGCTATGTACCAGGTATTTAATACATGTAGCACATTTAATCCTAACCACAATGCTGGGAAAACTGAGGTTCACAGAAAAAAAAGTTGACAAAGGTTTTACATCTAGAGTCAGGCTGAGTCTGGAATCAACCAGGTCTTTCTAAATCCCAAATGCAGATTCTCTCCACTGAGTCACACCTCCCTTTTTTCTAGGGCTCTTATACTCTCTTCTTGCCTATTGGGGTTTTCAATTCCTGTTCATTTATGCTGTTCTACACTTTCCAGTACTGAGACACTTCTTGGTGAAGGAAGTGGGGATTTGTCAGAAACTGAGGCCACTTTGCTTCTCCCCTCTCCTCTGTCATACATTATAGGCACTCCCCCAAGTGACTGAGCATATTCTAGCAAAAGAAACTTTCTTATTTTTTCATAAGCTTCAACTTATTCTACATTTTTATTTTGACTCCATCCTCACCCTCCACATGTAGCCTAAAATCCCCTTGGTCTTGTTGGTGAGCCTTGATTTCCCTGAGTCCTCAGGATGCGCATTTTGCTCTTTATCCTAAGGTTATCTTTTTTCTATCAGCACTGTTCTTTGAATTCCATTCTCCTGAACATCAGGGCCCTTCCCATGCCCTCTGTGCAGTCGTGATCTTTAACTAGGAGATTCTTCTCAGTGCCCTGCCCACTCTCCATCAGGGCATTCTATGCCCTAGGATACCCGTAAGCTGAAGACACAGCTGTCAACTAACTACCCTTTAGCCTCAGCTGACAAACACTCTAAGTTTCCCTCTACCTGGAGGCATTTTTCATCTTTGGAAGGAACTGAAGAAATGAGACCCATTGATTCCAAGTACAATTTCTGGAGAGATGCTGTCTGGTACTGACTCTACCACTTACACTTGGGCAATGTACTTAACTTGGTGAACTTGGGCAATGTACTTAACCTCTCTGGGCCTCAGTTTATTTATCCGTAGCATGGGGATAACAATTCTTCTAGGACAGATGTCAGCTATTACTTATCGTCAAATCAATTTTAATGTTGGCATTTTTGTCCTCTGGTAAATAAAAGAAGAAATAATTGAGGATTGAGAACTCTGAAGTTTGCCACTAAATTTACATCATGTGAGTGGTTACCTCTTCCACTTAGCAATAAGCAGCAACATAATTTTTGAGTTGTAAATATCATTACATCCAAGCCAAAAGTTGCAAACTCGAATACCAGTGGAGCAGGTTACATGACGACTGTCGAATTGGATAACTGATGACACTTTCAAGAGGGCAGCCCTACTTGGCACCCACATAAAACTGTGACCTCAAAATTACCAAATCTTCCTTTGCATTTGTCCCAAGAGATACCGGAAATCCAGACTTTTATGTAAAATTTCTCAATTTTTAAATGGCATCAAGTTATTTTTTCAATATCTAGCACTTACGTACTTACTAACAACATACCACCTGTTGGCAACCTCTGGCTTGCAGCCTGAAGTCTGAAGCCCCACTCCCCTAGTCACAGAACAGACTTGTAGCTACCACATGCTGTTACCATGACTACAAATAATCCCAGAGATAGGTCAGGAAACCTTATCTTATTTATGGAGCACCTCCAGGCTAGGAAACCTGCGTGTCCACTCAGCTATGTGCTAGAGTCACCCTTTTATTTGCCACAGATATTAGTTTACCACAAGGCTACTCTTGTAAGATCCCCCGGAACCTCCAGGTCAAATTCTCAGCCCATCCCAAGATTCCAGCCACTCACCGGTGATATTATTTATGGTATCAATTACTAATGCTCCTGAGATTAAGAACCCGGTAAAACAGATGCCAGAGAAGCTGTTGCTAAAATTGCCTATGTATGGTTAGAGACAAGGAGAACCCCACCCCTGCCCTGGACATTTGTGGAAAAGACGAGGAGGTTATTGGGGCCAGCATCCAACGTGTTCACTCTCAAGTCTGCTGAAGCCCACAAGATGATCCATTTGGGGAAACCAGGGCTGGCAGCAGCTGTTGAGTAAGCCTTGCTCATTTTGGGATTATAAGAGAGCTGAGGAAGCCTTGATAAGCCGCTAAGAGCAAAGTCTATCTTTGGAATCCTGCATAATTTTCCTGCAGACTTGATCCACAGGGAGCTAGAGCTAGGGTTAGTTAAAATTTAATGCCTATAGGTAGTCAAAATATATTTTAAAATTTTATTTCATCATTTTTTGGCTTTTTTTTCTTTTTGTGGAGAACAAGCCCTCACTATGTTGCCCAAGCAGGTCTCAAACTCCTGGACTCAAGCTATCCTCTCCCCTCTGCCTCCCTAAGTGCTGGGATTACAGGCATGAGCCACCATCCGGGCCTATTTCATCATTATTTATACTGGAAATAAATAAATAAATAAATAAATAAATAAATAAGAGCAAACTAAATGACTATCTGCAGTGAACTGCATAAAAATTATGGCACATAAGCCGGGCGCAGTGGTTAATGCCTGTAATCCCAACACTTTGGGAGGCTGAGGCGGGTAGATCACGAGGTCAGGAGATCGAGACCATCCTGGCTAACATGGTGAAACCCCATTTCTACTAAAAATATAAAAAATTAACCAGGCGTGGTGGCGGGTGCCTGTAGTTCCAGCTACTTGGGAGGCTGAGGCAGGAGAATGGTGTGAACCCAGGAGGCGGAACTTGCAGTGAGCCGAGATCGTACCACTGCACTCCAGCCTGGGTGGCAGAGTGAGACTCTGTCTCAAAAAAAAAAAAAATTATGGCACATCAATAATATGGAATCATAGGCAGCCAGCTATGGGATAAGTGAATTTTTCAAAAGCTATGTATAGAATAATATGTATGGTATTATTCCTTTTTGGTTAAAGCAAATAAAGAAAAAAAGGAAGGAAATAAAAATCTATGTGAATATATGTGTCAGAGTAAACATATAGGTGAGCACATAGGTTGAACAGGTTTAGAGACAAAAATCTGGAAAGCTACATACCAAACCATTAACAATAGTACATCTGGGGAAAGTTTTTATTTTTGTTGAATATACTTTGGCATTTCGTTTTGTTACAACAAGCAAGAAGTCATTTTGTAAATTTTAAAAGTGAATATATAAAGAAAATATTTAGTCCTTATCAGATCAACTCATTAACTCATTAGCTCATTAACTTAGCACCTACTGTGACCCCACAACTGTACTCTATGCCACCAAAAACATAAAAGAAAAAACTTCTGTCCTTAAGCATCATAATCCAGTAGAGGAGCCTATATGTATGGATAGTTTACAAATATTTTTCAAATTCTAGCAGTCCTTTCTTTTTCATAAGTAAAAAACAACTGTCATTATTTTATAGATGAAGGAAGGTGACATGCAGAGAAACTGATGCCAGCAAGTGAGAGAACTCTATTGTGATTCCAAATCCAGGAGTTTCTCTACCGAATGCTGATGGGTAAGTGTCTTCTTTCAGGTTTTCTGTTTCTCAGAGTGCCATGGCTATGAAGAGAAAATATATTTCAATAAAAACTAAGTATTAAGAAGCACTTACAAGTGCCTGGGCAGAGATGATGTACCCAAGTTTTCTAGTTTAATTTTCTATTCAAATGAGATTTGTCAGCTTATTATTACTCATCTTTCTTATTTATTTCTTTAAACAGAATCTACTCCAAAGATTGACCAAAAATCATGGACAAGACCCGGCTATCTTTCATGGAGCATTAGCAATGGCAAAGAACTTAGAAATCCTCTCTTTTGACACTTCCATTTTAAAGACAGGAAACTGAAGCCCAGAAAGTCCTGAAGGCTGTCATAACTGGTGATTAGTGGCAGAGCTGGGACTTGAATCTACTACTCTTTCAGCCCATCCATGCCATGCTTATCATTATGAATGACCCAGTGAAACATCCATATAGCATTCCTCAGTGCCCCACTTTACCAGGAAGGTGCTCTCATCAATTGCAATCTGACCTAAGCAAAATTCTCACTGGTTCAATGTTTCTGCAGACTGGCATTAATGGAATAGGCAGTCATGCTCATCTAATCATGTCTTTCTTTAAATAGCTTGGGCTGACATGTTGTTTTCTGTCCAGAAGATAGATAGGCAAACACCAGCACAACTAGCATTTATCAAGTATCTATTATAGGGCCCTCAATGAGATTAGGGTTTTTGTTTGCATTATTTTAACATTATCTTTAATAGTCTATGAGGTATTGAAGTCTATCTTATAGCTAATAAATAATGGAACCAAAGGCTAAAATCCAGGACTTTTTTTAAAAAAAGCTAGGTCTAGGGCTCTTTCTCTGTGTTTTGCCTTCCAGGGTACGGCAGAAAAACCACTGAATTTATCCCAAAGACTGTAGCTTCTTTAGAAGCAAAATATGCCAATAAAATCTCGGTTTCCAGAGGGGGAGTCAATGGAAATCAAATAAGAATGTATTTCATTCTGTCATCTCCTGACCTATAAAACAGAGTTAGAAGACCAGACTCCTGGAGAGTTGCTGCCATTAGGCCTTACAGGAGTCTCTGCTCATTTCTCGTTGTTCCAGATTTTTCAATCTTGTCTTCAGGCCAGTTTCTTGATCTCCTCTCATCACAGCAGCACTCCATCCTGTCCAAGCATAAGAAATCTGTGCTGTCTTGGACAGATGACAGAACTTAGACTTTAAACCACTGATTTTTTTGTGGTGGGCATTTAGGAGTGCTAAAGCCAAAAATAGATGCTCATTTAAATCTAAGGGTTACTCTCCCATCTTCTCACTTCCATCTTAATGTCACCTAGTTCTAATCAGGGTCTACTGCTTAATGCAGTAAGAGAAAAATGATGTTTTGTTTACAATAGCAGGTCCCATTGTGACTGTGTTCTTGTAGTGCAACTCTTTTCAAAGCAAAGTTTTCCCTGAGATAGTGAGCTGAAATAAATATATATCCCCTACTGCTGATTCTTCTTTATTTTTTTCTCTAAACAGAAAGGACAGTGCCATTGAAAGCATAAAATGCACCTAAAAAAATATTCTTCAGTAAAGCCCAATAGAATCAAGGTGTGACATCCCCAAGAACAGCCAAGTCACAAAAGAGCTAGTCATGCTGAAGGCCAAGTTAAATAACCCATAATTTTGGATCTCTGGGTCCCACTAGCACCCTTGAGTGTGGGCTTATAAAATTCCTGAACGGGCAAGACGGCCCCTGTTGAATCTTGCTTGACTTGGCCCCTTCATGGGTAACTCTTCTGTGATTTGGCTTTCCCCACACATCTCACACCTTCCCACAAGTGACCTTTTCACTCTGTGCTTGGCTTTTCTGTGGTGGGTTAAGTGTCTGCACACATTCACATCATCATGTTCCCGATGTGAAGATGACATGGTCATACATGCTATTGATCTCCAAATATTCAAAGGACATTGAAGCTCTGCTCAGGCTCCTGCAGTCTTTTCTGGGATAAGTATGGATATAAGGATATGGCAAGATGATGAATGCCCTACGTATATCTATTGTTCTGATTTGCGTAGCCCCTTGAGCTGCACAGCACTTCTTATAAAAGTGAGCTTCCACATGTCTAATGGTGCTTAGTCCCTTAGACTCTAAATCTTAGACCATGTGTTGTTATTTCATACCACCCCAGAGCCATTTCCTCTTATATAAAATTTCCAGAAATCCATAGGCATACTGCATCACGTGGCAGTGGGCTTCTGCATTTCCTTGGAGCATTATGACAGGCCACTCTAATTATAATCACTGGTTGTCAGCTTATCCTCTGTCTGTGTTAAGCAGTCTCACTTTCAACTACTCATCGTCATCTCCAGAAAGCCTCCCCTGAACTTTAGGCTGACCCAACTGCTCCCATAGTATCCATATTTACCTCTATTTTGGCATTTCCTCACTACAGTAATTGTTTCTATTTTTGGTCTGTCACCACAATAGACACATTAGAGCTCCTAAGTTGGATGGACTAGCTCTCACTTATCTGCATATTACCAACACTTAGCACTATGTCCTGCAGAAAATATACATTCAGTACATATTGGTGAGCCATTGTTGAAGGTTTAGTTGAATGGGTTAAGGTAAAAATTATTTCCAGGCCTGTGAATTAATTCTATTCCAGAACTCTTTCTGTTGCCAATATTAGTGTGATGAAATATTAAGTATGACTTGTGTTGACACTCAGACAGAAGGACATATGGCCCACTAGAATTGTCACTGCAAAAAGGCTAATTAGTTTAACTCTCAAAGGGTAACTTTATTTACCATGCCTTTGTTGGAGGGGAGGTGTTGAAAGAATGACTGACTTCCCCATGCTTTCACCTTGTAGGAGACAAGGAATTTGGCGGCCACATAGATTGGCCTTTAGTTTTGCCTATACCTCAGTATCCTTCAGTATTATCTTCCTTAAATCTTCCCAAAAGTCTGTATAAGGTTTCATGGACATTACCAAACTAAACTGCCTGATAAGACGTATGTACCCCTCAACCTCTGTTTCAACTTTTTATCTATCGTCTTCCCACCCTCCACTGAAACGCAAGCATGCCTTTGTCTCAGATATAGACTGGGAGCCCAAGAGATAATCTTTACCAATCTCAGCATCTCCAGTTTTCTCTGTTAAGCTACATGGTAAAGATGTCCCTGAGAGACTAAGTCTGGGGAATTTTTGTATACCAGAGGTTTGACCAGAAAACTGAGATTTTTCCAACTCTGGATCCTTTGGCTTTTGCCCTGATTATTTTACTAGGGCCTTACTCTTCTCTAATTCTTAACAGTTAATAAAAAGTCTTTCTGTTGCCATGGTTGAGAACAATGAGCCCTTGTCAGGATAAGATTTGGAGAGCTTTAATGAGAAGATGTATGTAAGCCCATGTTGCAAAGAGACAAAACAAGAATACAGAAAAAAGGCTCTGTTGATGAAGCAAAAACCCTCCTGAGACCAGCACACTCTGGAAATGGAAAATGGAACCAGTGGCATTTTGCCTATTTGTTCTGGGCACCATTCTGGATGAAGGGATAGCTAATTTTTCTCTGTGAAGATTAATTAGTGATGGGACCCAAGATAGTTGTTGTTGTAGAGGGTGCCTCACCCTGTGAGCTTCCTTTCTGAGGAGCACCACCAGCAACACCCTTAGGTCAAAGGCCTGAGCATTGTCACAGAGTTAGACAAAGCCTAATTCCAGAAGCTTAGTCTAGAAGCCATGTATGAATATAGTTTCCAAACAGACTGAATCTTTGGGGACTGCAAATAACATTACATGTTCAGGCCTTCCACACTCCTGCCTTGAGGTAGGAAGTATTATGCAAAGACCTGCAAAAACTACAGGCTGAGTGGAGTGTGATCCTGACACTCTAGAGATGACTTCCATATGCAAGTCATACTTGAGCTCTTTCTGAATGAAACCAAACAAGAGGTGATTCCTGTTATACTACAAGCTTATTTAAGCCAGGGAACATGGCTTGTGTAGCATTCTCAGAATTTTGCCCAGGAAAAGAAATATTTTCTAAAAGTCTGCCTTATCAAATATTAATGGTTCTAACCTCAGATTGCCTGAGTGTGACCTTTGGCAAGATTCTTAGTCTTTCTGCATTTTTCTCTCACCTATAATGTGGGTATAATAATAATACTGTCAGCTTCATAAAGTCGTTGGGAATTAAATAAGACATGGTACTAACTAAGGCACTTAAGCTGGCATGAATAAGCACTTGATAAATGTTTCTTGTTTTATACTTATCACTTGAGAAAAGCTTACTCAGCATTTTATAAATCCTCAAGATCTTTTAGGAGAACGGGAAGGAATCCTACTAAAAGATATATCTCACAGATGAACCGAACCCCAGTGGGGCAAAGTTAACTGTTCCAGATTGCTTTGCAAAGCATCTGAGAAGCTGGGACTAGAAATTAGCCTTATCTTTGACTGCTGGGTTTATAGGAAAAGCAGATTGAGATTGGCTCAGGCTAGGTTGGCTCAGGGGCTGGCAGAAGCTCCCTAATGCCTAACAAATTTGTTTCCTCTTCTTCCTATGCACTCAGCTAGACTATATTGCCCAGTTTCCTTTGCAGTTAGGTGTGGTCACTGGAGTTCTAACCATTAGAATAGAGAGGAAGTCATGCATCAATACAAGACTGGGCTTATGAATATCTCCCATGTACAAGTTTTTATTCTTTCTCCTCATAGTTTAGCTGAATGGAGAGGTACTGAGCTAAGTGCTGAAGATATTGGAGCCATCAAATGGAAGAAGATTGTTTTCCTAAATCATTGCTTGGAGAAGAGCCACTCAATGAGAAATTCCATGTTGAGTTGTGAGATGAGTGAGAAATGAACATTATTATGTTAAGATTTGGAGATTTATCTGTTACCTCATCTAGAGACAGCCTAAGAGAGGCTCTACCTGCTCATGTGTAGAGGAAGGATGCATGGTGTGGGCAAGATGAGGAGAACTCCAAGAATCTTCTTCGTGGAGTTCAAAAGCTTCCCTGAGAATAAGAGCTGACAGAGGTTGACTTGGCAATCCTTTGATAGCCCCCTTTGTCCACTTTGGCTTCACTAGGTGAAAATACTAAAAATGACTCAAAACCCCTTTGGTTTTCTGTGCCTCTGCAGAGCCTGCAGTAAAGTGTAATAAAAGTAGAAACTGTGAGTAGGAAGCATCTGAAGTGGGAAATGCCGTTAGGCTGGCCCATAAAAGATGAGTGCTATGAGCAGTAAAATGAGCTAAGAAGGAAAACATGATGAATGTTTTCTCGGCCTTAAGCAGCAAGATCCCATTTCAGCATCCCACGTGGCACTGTGTGCCTGGCTGGAAAAAGCAAGGGCCTCTGTGCAAAGCCTGACTCAGGGAGTGTGGCAGTTGAGCCTAACCCTGGGGCCCCGGCTGGGGGAGTAGAGTGGGGTGGAGGTGCTGGGGGTGGGTGGAGGGATGCAACTTGATTTCTTCATCACCTCCCAGGCCTTACTGACGCTTTCCATGTTGAAGGTTCCCATTGAGACACTGGAGGAAATCCTGAATTGCCCAAGTTACAGAGCAAGGACACCTCACATAGGGAAAGGGAACCCAGAGGTCATGGTGCCAGGAACAGCAGGGAGAACTTTATGAGATTTGACTCAAGAAAATGAATATCCTCTGCTTCAATCCCACTACCATAGCTCATACCACACAGAGAACATGTGTCTTTACTGTGCTGGCCCCCACCTCGCACCGGGACACCTTCCTCCTCCTAGGTTTAGGCAGCTTCCATGAATTCTTCGAAGTACGATTCAAGTTCAACTTTCTCCACGAGCCCACGACTTTTTATTATAGTCCCTGTAAATCTCATTTTTGGAAAAATATAGCAGTGGAAAGGCCTGGGTTGGAGCCCTGCCTTTGTTACTTGCAAGCTCTGTGATTTTGTGCACATTACTAACTTCTGTAAGTTTCGGTTTCCCTATCTCTAAAATAGGGATTGAAATATAAATCCTACAGGATGGCTGCAAGGATTACAGGATATTACCTTGCATAATGTGTAAGATGTAATAAACACTCAATAAAAATTAGTTTTCTTCTGAAATTTTGCAGCATATATGGTCTTTACCACCAATTTAATACTTTTATTGTTTCTTATGCACGTAGCTTGACTCTTCAACCAGGGTAAAATCCCCTTCTAGAACAGAATAATGTCTCAGATCATTATAGACTACCAAGCCATATTTAATATTTTTGCTTATTAATTACTGTTCATCATTAGTCTGATTGATATCAATTGGTTGGTTGATCATTAGTTTTAACCTTTTACAAAGTTAGTTAGAAAGGTGCCTCTCATCCTCTAAGAATGTCATGAAAATATGATTTTACTCGGGCTGTGTAGAAGATAGATTCATATTTTGAAGAGTCTCTAAATTACTCCAGTCCCAAGAAGACTTCAAAAAATTAGTATCAATGCTATACAAAGCTATTGTAAAGACAAAAATGCCTGGCCTACGCTGACATAATAACAGCTGAACACATCTTCCAGTGACACATGGCTGCCCTCAGCACGAGTTAGAGTAAGCCAATTCTAAGAAAATGGCTATATTTGTACTAGCTCAAACATCACCCTCTGAGAGCAGCCCTCTTAGAAAATCATATCTAAATAAGCCTTCGTTCTCATTGCCCAGTCATTCTCTATCATTCTATTATTTTTAATTTCCTCAAAGTCATCAATGCAATCTGAAATTATTCATTTACTTGCTAGTGTATTCAATGTCAGTCTCTCACTAGACCATGAGCTCCTAAAGGCAAGAACATGTCTGGTTGTTCATTGCTACGTTCTCAGTGCCCAGAGCAGTGCTTAACAAAGAGCATTATATAATATGTATTGAATTGAATCTGATGAACCTTGACATAAGTGTGGGGAACAAATCTCCAATTGATGATCATAAGCAAAAAAGCTTTTGTGAAATGCATCTTTTTGGCTGGGTTTCCTTGGGAAAACAACTCTCCTTTAGCTTACTGAATGCAAACTGGTACAACAGAGCTTCTCTGAAATGCTCAAAGTACTAAGCAGTGAATCACGTCAACCAGACAGCTCTGCTCTTGGATCTCAGCTCTCAAAACTCCCACTAATGAAAAAATACTCCATAGAAAAAGATATTAATCTATAGGCTGTAAGAAAGTTCTGAATATCTCTATCTTTACTAAATTGCTCCCTGAAATGAAATGCTATTATTTTTCCTCCAATGTTTATTCATTGTAGTGTCTTTTAAAATCTTATTTTGTTCTTAACCCACCATTTCTTATTTCTATAAAAATTCTGAGCATCCTTAAAAGCTCAGTAGAAGTTCTGCCTCACCAATGAAAACAATTAACCTCTTCTTACCCTAAACATCTTCTTTGAATTTCCAGAGCCTTTTATATCATGCACCTCATTGTGAATGGCTGCCTAAAAAGCTAGCCCTTTCAAGAAAGAAACCATGGTGTGATTTTTACTCTTCCTTATGTATAACGGATGCTTGCTAGCTACTATTTACATTTACACTAATCTATTACAGAATACTATATGAAGAACAATAAACCTTTGTTAATTTAGGTAGCTTTAACTTGGAGTAAATAATATTATTTAGCCATGCAACCATTTCTTATCCTTAAAAAAAGGCTTTGGTCAACAAATTAAACAATAAGTATGTATTGAGATTCTATAATAGATCAGGAACTGTCCTAGCTATTGAGGATGCAAAGATGAATAAGATAGCCTTTCCCCAGAAAAATGAGCAATTGTGGAGCACCTTAGACTATAGAAGAATAATCCTTCTAGTAAACACCCCTTTGTGTAATCATTATGCCAATTACAATGAATGCTCACTATTTCATGAAAGAGAATTGCGTAGAGCATATTCTTCACAATTCTTTATCCAGTTTGTCTTTTAAAAAACATTTTTATTACTTCTTCAGGTACACATGGAAACATATGCCATAATTCAGATGTAACTAACTTGGATTGTTCTAATTAACCCAAATTACAAAAATGTTCTGTACTTAATATTCTAAATGATTATTGAAATTATTATTCTTACTATTGGGTGAAAATATGGAGATTTTTATGTCAAGTTTTCTGATTGGCATACTATGATTATCTATTACCCCAAACCTCAAAGGGTGTTAGATCAGTGAACAATGTTTGGTATGCTGCTAAATTAAAAAGTAATAATAATAACCGTAAGCTTCACATGTAGTTGTTTTTGTTATACCATTATGAAACCAAGGGGTGATGCAAGGTTTCCAAATAGGAGTGGTTTTCTAAGTTTTGAGGCATGTCATTCCCAGAGAGCCTACAATCCGTGGAGGTACTCAGTCAGTCATTGTCCAGCTATTTTGGCAATGATCTGATGGCTAATGGAATTAACTAGCATGCCACCCTCTGCAGTTATTTATAAAACCAGAGCAATGAATAAGGTTTTTGCTCTCCCAAACCAACCTCCATTTCCAGTGAATGGCTGTGGTGGTTGGCAACCTGAGCCCACCAAATCAAACCCTGATGAAATGGGTCAGTGAGCAACCAGTGTAACTGTCCACCAGGAAACAGTCTGGAGTAGGGGCAAGAGCAAGAGGTTTCAAGTCCTGGCTCTGCTGCTTCCCAGCCACTTAAGAATGGGCAGGTCACAAAGTTTATCTTTTACTTCTTCATTTGCAAAACAATACTTCCTGGCCTGTCCACCTTTCATGGTTATTGTGAGGCTCCAGTGAGATAATATATGAAAGTTCTTGTAAATGGCATAGTCCTAGCCTCTTTATTAGTCTAAGTTGTCAGTTGGTGCATGACAACTCAAAACCACTCTCCCCATGCTGCAGTGATGCATTCAAGGAGGATAGTACATACTTATTGTTCAATATACCAAGCAAAATCCAGAGGCACTCTCACCTCAATCCCTTAAGATATGTCTTCTTTCCTGATTGTCCAAGTGCCTCGTGGTACTGCTGAATGACAGTGCTAATTGCACAGACCCTAAGGTCAGATTGCCAGCTCCCCACTTGGTCAAATATTTAACATTTTATGAGCTCGTTACTGGATCTATAAAATGAGGATTCAAATGTTACCTATCTCACAGAATTGTGGGAGGATAAGATAATCACGTAAAACACATGATGTAGTATCAGGTGGCACACAGTAACAATGACAATTACTATTAGCCTCACACAGGTTTCTGCAGCTAATATGAAGGCAAAAATCCCATTAGAGTCAGAAGATCTGGTTTCAAGTCCTCGTTCCCTCTGTGACAGGCTGGATAATGCTACAAATTTCATTCAATCTCTCTGGAATGCAGTTACTACTTATAAAAGGATGCTAATATTCACTTCATGGGGCCTATATAAAAATCACATAGAGTAATATATATATAACTTCTATACTCACTGTAATGCACGATGAAAATGCACAAGGCTGTTATTTGATTTTTCTGTATGAACAAACATGCAGAAAACAATTGCAAAGATTTTATTTAGCGGCTTTCTGTGCTTGGCACTTAGAAACAGAGTTCCGTGCATAAGGGCAAATTTTTGTACACCTTTTCTTCATACATATTTTACATACCCTTTTATTGCCCCCTTTTTCATATTCATAATATTGGATTCCCCACTAGGCACATAAATACATTTATCTACAACACCTCAAAACCAGAAACTTTAATAATATCTGTATTATTTTACTTGGTATTATTTGCATTTCCACACCATTTAAAAATTTTAGCTTGCACCAAGCTTCACTTGCTTTCTTACCATTAAAAGATTTGAAGGGAAAGGGAAAGATGAAGGACAAAACCCAAAACTTCAAAATGCAATGTACTATTTGATAAAAATGGAGATCTAAGGGCAGGTAGAAGGGTATAGAAGACCCATCTGCAATTCCCTGGGACATGAGGGGATATTTCCTGCCACAGGGATAGCGGGCAGGCATTCTAGGTCAGGTGTCTGGATCCGGCACCTGGAGGCCAGGCCTCTATTTGTTGCCTCTGCTCTTGGTATCATCTTCCGAGATTATAAAACTATTCCTTCTTCACACCCTTTTATTTTCCTTCCCCTACCAGGCTGCATGCTGTGGAATCAGCACTTCCCACGTAGTGCACCTCTCTTCTGGATCACAGTGGTCAAAGCTGTGGGCTCAGGATGCATTCCTTGCTCTGTCCCTCTGACCAATGCCCTGACCATGCTCAGTGTGCCAGAGAGGTTTACTCCTCAGTAATGCCATGATTCTTTCCATAACCTGTAGTGGGGCGGGCGGGGTTTGGGGGGACAAACCAAAAACACGTCTCCTTGGTGAATTAAAATTCTCATCATTGCTCACACTTTCTCTGTCAGTCTTGCTCTCCACCTCGTTCCTGTTCTCTATTCTTTCTGTTTGTCTTTCTCCTGTTCAGCTTCTCTTTCTCCCTCTTTCCACGGGCACCACTGGGAATATCAATGATAGCATACAAGTGAAGAGAGCCAAAGTTCAAAAGCAATCTTTTTCCGGAAGCCAAGTCCAGTTGTACTGATGTCTTTCCACTCTCATCCATTGGGAGGGTCTCCAGGATACATGGTTCATTCCAGAAGCAGAGGAAGCTGCAGGGGAGAAAGACTGGCAGCTACTGCTGGCCCACTCCATCTAGAGTTGTACACAGACAAATTCTTGGTGAAAGCACCCATTCTGGGCCTCCCTCCACAGAGTTCACCCAGTTCAGAGTCAGTGTGCATGTATGATTGCATGTGTATGAATTGTGTATGAATATGTATGTGTGTGTGCACGTATGTATAGGTAGGTCTGTCTGTATGTGGGTGTGTATGTGTAACTTTTCATGGCTGCCACACACTAGCATCTCCCTTAACATTATGACGAAGTGATTATTCAGTCTCTTCAAAGGCCACTCTGGAACAGACAATGCTTTATAAAACTAAGGTCTGGGAAGGCAGAAGAATGGCCACTGAGTTGCGGATGATTCTATCGCAAGTATCCTTCACTGGCTTAAAGGTATCTCTTGTTCTTGGGTATATGTCTTCGGCCAGAAAAAAAAAAAAAAAAAAAACACGGTTCCTGTTTTTCAAAGACACTGGACTCCCAAAGAGGAGGATCTGACCACGGAGACTCTGGGGCCTTGATTGCCAAATGCTCCGTGGTGTTTGGACTGGCCTTTAAACCATGTGCACGGACATCTGGGAGGAGGAGCCTGGAACTGCCCCATACTGCCGGCCATCACAAGTGTTGGTTGCCTGTTGGTTATTGGGTGAAGGGCTAATCATGTGCATGCTGTGCTCCATCCCTGACGGCAGGTACTGCCTCTCTCCAAAGGCCCCGTTGGAAGGAGAAGAACAGAGTAAAGTGCTTTGAGAGGCGCTCAGTTTTTCCGGGCTTGCAGCTAGCCTAGGGGAAGTGGGGAAATTGTATCCATACAGGTTGTAAGGGTTGTGAAGGGAGAAGGCATTGTAGGAGCTCTGCTGCATGTGGCTGCCCCCGAACATGTGTGGTGATGAGGAGCTGGAGGCAGCATTGCCTGCCTGCATGACATACTGAAACTGGGAAGTGGGAAAGGACCCCAGCTGGCCACCGTAGGCTTCCATCTTGCTGTTGCCAGGCAACGAGGGAGGAGTTGGTATTCCTGAGATCAGGGATGGAGTCCTCTGAGGCATGAAGGTTTCAGAGGGCTGAGTGGCTGAAGTGGTGCCACTCTGAAGCCTGTTGTAGCCACTGTCACTCAGCCCTGGGTAGCTCTGCAAGGCAGCCATGTTGCTTCGGGCACATGGTGGATAATCAGAGAGGTTTAGATTACACAGCTGGCTTTCTCGGCAGCCCACATTGAAAGTGTTGGGGGCCAGATGAAAAGTTGGAGGAGAACAGGATGGAGATAAAAGATGAGAAGAAGCCGAAGGGGATGGTGTCCCAGTGCTGGAGGTGGTTGGGGAAGTGCCTGTGCTGCCTCCTGAAAAATAAAACGTGAATACTATTGAGACAGAGTCTTTTAAGATGAGTCTGCCTAAGTCACATGCAAGCCATACAGGAGGTGCCTTCAAATGTCCAAGATAGGGCTGATTTTTACAGAACCATTTTTCCTCTTAACTCAGCAGACCTATGCTAAGCGATTCCACCTGTGGACATATACACAGTCATACAGTCTCTCACACACACACACACACACACTCCAGAAGGATCAAAAACAACACTAAACTCTTTTGTTTGTTTTCTCTGTAAGAGCCTTAGTAAGTCCTTTGTATAAAAATAACAATAAACCTTCCAAGATTCACGTTGCCATTTCTCACCATCAAATTCACTTTCTAATAAGACCTCTGATGTCAGCATTAAAATCCACTAGCTCAGCTTTTCCCATTCTTAATGGAAATGCATTAAATATGTATTTTATTCAAAGGCTGTTGCCTACTTTGCCATTTTTAGTCTTCCAGCCAAACATGCAGGACACCAACGCGGGACCCTAATCACAGAGGAAATGGGGTAATGGAAGACAGTGCCAAGTCAAAATTGAGGCCTGGGGGTGCAGAGCAGTGGAGCCTGGGGTATGAGATTGAAGTTGCATCACATAAAAGACATTGGGAACACAATTATAAGAGCTAGATTAGAATAAAGCAGGGCTAACCCAAAACAAAATCATTATGAACCAGAGGCTCTGCTGATCTCCTTTTATAGGATCATGTCCATTCTCAGAGACTGGAATAAAGACTGTAAATGGAGCCTTTGGAGTTTTAATATTTATCAGAACAAGAAGCTAAAAAGGCCTTAAAGTGACCTGAGAGTCAGGAGATCTGGGTCTGCTCACAACTCTGCCACACTAACTGCCCAGGTAACCTTAGGCACATCACTTACCCTCTGCAGGTTACAGTTTCTTCATCTAGAGATGAGGAATTAACTTAGATCAGCGGTTCTCAGGCATAGAGGACCTGGCAGCTTTTAAAAGAAATGCTGACGTTCCAGGATCCTACCTCGGATGAACTAAAGGAAAGTTTCTGGGCATGGAACCTCCACATCAGTATTGTTTTAAAAGCTCCCCCAGATGTGTAGTGTGGCTTAAGAACCAATCATACAACCCAAATTCCTCATTTCTAAGTACTCAGAATAGTCTTTCCTAAACTTGAGTGTGTATGAGAATCAGCTAGATGGCTTGTTAAAGCATAGATTGCTGACTCCATCCCTAGAGTCTCTGATTCTGTAAGTCTGGGGTGGGGCCTAAGAATTTGCATTTCCAACAAGTTCTCAGGTGATGGTCCAGAGACCACACTTTGGGTTAGAGGAACTCCAGATTCCTTTCATTTCCAAAAGTCCCTAAATCTGTATTTGAACGAGTTGATCTTATGATGTGTGAATGTTAGAGCTAGACAGGTGGATGATGCACCGACAGACTGAGGACCAGTTCAATCCAACCTCCTTCAGTGTGTTCTCAGATAATTTAAGAAGGCCAAAAATGACCTTTACGAGCCTCCTCTTTCCCAAAGTCAGGAAGCAGCAGTGCAGCATCTGCCTCCTGTCTCATCCAATGGAAGTTAAAGACATGGGTGAGTGCTAGGGCTGCGGGGCCCTTTATTTGAATTCTGGAAAGAGCAGCTGCTTTGTCTTCCATAGGGAATCTTCCGTGATGTAACTTCCTCCTTCACAGCAAGGTTAGGAGTTTCCCAGCATTGTCAAGAGCTGTGATTCCCCCAAGGAATGTAATATCCTTTAGATCACCTACCCACTCATTTTGGGACTCTTAGAAGCTGAGCATTATAAAAGGGTAAAGGGCACTTTAGGTATAAAAGAGCAGGAATAAGGTTTTTCTCAGTGAAGAAAATGTTATAAAAACTAGCAGGGGTTGGGCACACTGGCTCATGCCTGTAATCCTAGCACTTTGGGAGGCCAAGGCAGGTGGATCACTTGAGGTCAGGAGTTCAAAACCAGCCTGGCCTACATGGTGAAACCCCGTCTCTACTAAAAATACAAAAATTAGCTGAGTGTGGTGGTGGGCGCCTGTAATACCAGCTACTTGGGAGGCTGAGGCAGGAGAATCTCTTGAGCCCAGGAGGCGGAGGCTGCAGTGAGCCAAGATAGTGCCATTGCACGCTGGCCTGGGCAACAAGAGCAAAACTCTCAAAAAAAAAAAAAAAAGCAGGATTCCAGAGACACTGGAATACAAAGAAACCATCCACAGTGTGCTAAGGACACAGGGGTCCCAGATGTGTCAATTAAGAGACAGATGCCCTCAAAGAGGAACCGAAAGTTAATTTTTAGCAGGAAAAAAAAAAGCGTTCATCTTACATCCATGGGCATAGGTAGTAGTGCTGGCTATAGAAGTACAAATTTGGCTGTTGTTATTATAATAGTTTCTTCAGAGGTAAATTTTGACAAAGCCTAACTAATAACGAAAGAATTTCAAAAGAATTCCCCCCAATGAACCTTCAAGGAAGAATTGTATTTAGATATAAATAGCTGCTGATTTTAGAGACATTTCAAAACTTCTCCTTCCTCCTTTCTAATACTCAACTTAAAATCCTTTAAGAAAAGTAAAATGATTTTTATTCCACAATTTGAGACAAGGCTAACATTGTAAATACCACTGAGAGAAGGAAGACAGCAGCTGGCCATGTCGGAAAGAGCCCTGAGCCTGATTCTAGGCCTATTAACCTCTGTCCAGCTCATGACCACTAGCAATGCAGGCCACCTCTTCATTCTCATTAGCTGTGAAATCAGGGGCTTGAACCAGTGGGCCTCAGTTTCTGTCCTTCTCAGCATATCTGTAACTGAGGTTTCAAATAATATAAAGTGTGAATCGCCAACAACAAGTACTTTCCATGGAATTATTTTGATATAATGAAGGATCTCTGGCAGGAGAAGATTCTAGAAGGAGGAGGCAGAACATCTCATCTGTCTTGTTTCTATACAGCTGAATGGCCAGGCCTTCTGTGCCTTGCAGAAATCTCAAGGATTCATTTCAAGCGTGTGGTTCCTCTTTGAGGCATCCTACACATTTTCCTTATTTTCCACTCCAAATGCTATGAGCTTCTCTGAAATTAAGGCTATGGCACAAATGGAGAAACCTGACTCCAGCTGTAAAGAGATTTGTTTTATGGGATAGTTATCTGGTCACTTCTCTTTGAAAGTTCATTCTTGCTCTCCCTGATCTGGTGTTTATGTGGTCCCTGAGGAGACCACCTGTTCAGCATGTCATACTGTCCTGTCACAGGTATGTTCTATCAGGCACTGGTCCTAGCCCTGCAGCAGGAAGTGCAAGATGGAGCAGATGACTTCCTACAACTCTAAATGGTTTTCTCTGATGGCCCAAGATGGAAGGAATGGTACTGATTTAAGGCCTCAACTGGTTTCACTACAAAAAGAAAAAAAAAAAAAGGTGGGGGGTGGAACTATTAACAAGTTACAGGGATTTCTGCTGACCAGATGAGAGGCAAATGTTAAAAAGTTTGTAGTCAGCTTGCTTGGGCTTTTAAATGACATTCACTGGAAATGAGACTTGGTGGCCTGCTGAGCTTGAGTGGGTGAAGCCTCCATATGAACTAGTGTTTGAAGGAGGCAGGGGCAAGGCTGTCCAAGAAAAGGTCACCTTGCTTCCATGCACTTTGAAGAAATGCTCTTGTGAACATAAAGTACTCAATACAGATAACAGCAATTTTTCAAAGTTCCCATAGAAAGAGAAGACTATGGTATTCATTTTGCAGAGAACAAACCGAGATACTGACAAGTCTTTCTCCTCCTATGATCTAACAGCTTGTCGAATGTTAAACAAGATTGGAATTTCCAGCCAAGTGCAAAATGAGCACAAAGAGGGAGCCCATCCTCTTTGATCATTTACAACACTTGGCTGACTAGAGATTCTCATCACAGAAAAGCTAGGGCAGGGTGGGACACCAGTCCAGGCCAGGCCATACTGATACAGGAGGGTCAGAGCTGCCTCTCAAAGCAAAGCATGACTCTCTTCCCTGTGCCCTCCTCCCCTCTGTACCTGCCAGGTCCCGAGTGCTCTGAGCATCTTGACAGAAATTTTATTTAATGGATGAGTGTGTTCTATAGGGTCCAAAAAACCCAGTTCCAATCCCAGATGTCTTACTGATTAAGGACAGAACCTTAGCAAGTTAGCAACTCCAAGCCTTTTACATTTTAAGGAATTGCCAATATCTATTTTGTAGAGATGTTTTGAGAAATAGGTAAGATATAATAGTATACATTACAAAGTGCTCATAACTGTATCTGGCACATAGGCATTAATTTAAAAAAAAAAAATTTAGTAGAGATAGGGTCTCACTATGTTGCTCAGGCTGGTCTTAAACTCCTGGGCTCAAGAAATCCTCCTGTCTCAGCCTCAAAGCATTGGGATTACAGGCGTGAGCCACTGCACCTAGCCCAGCACAAAAGCATTAACTATTCTCTTCTATGAGAGAAGAGTGAAGGAAGGAGAAAGGAACTTGGGTTCTAATGAGAATGGCTCTGCGGTGTTGGCCTCTGTCTGTGGAGCTAAGCATCTTGGCCTCTCCCCACCCTGATGAGCATTATGTCACAACAGCTACATGTTTGTTGTACATGCTAGAGGAACCTCCATCACTGTGAATGATGGAGCACTAGGCCAGGTAGCAGCTAAGGCCCTACCTGTGCCATATTCCCAAAGGCTAACCTAACTCTGGTTCCTCTCTGAATTATCTGTCCCTCCTCCCTCACTTCCAGTTCAGGACAAGAATGGCTGCCCGTGTCTCCATCTTTCCTCAAATGAAGCAAAGTGGGATTGACAGAACACAAATAGCTAGACTGGTGTTTTTCCCACTATCCTTAGAGGTCTTAATTCACTTCTGAGAAGTGATTAAAATATAATGCCCTAAGTAGCTTAAAACTTTCAGGAGTTCTGTAGCATCTGTAGGATCTGTAGGATCAATCTCCTACAGCACCAGCTCCCTTCATCCTATTTTACCCATGGGCCAATATGAGGTGACACACATGAAAATTCATATATGACATTAAATTGCTCCAATATCCAAGGCTAATGGCCAAAATAACCAAAAAGGATACGTTTAGCAGTAATTCCGTATGAGGACAATAACCTAGAATATACTTGTTTTTACCATAAAGACAAGTTAAACGTGACCATGAAAATCCTGAATACTAAACCTGCTGACTTTTGCATCTCTAAATTGATCATTTCCAGATTGTAATATAAGGGCTTTCACATACAGTTTCTTTTTCAATTTATTTTGCTGTGCTTTTCTCCCTCCTCCCCCAAAATTGAAAAACAGTAAGGCAAAACCCCATCTAGGCTAGTAAAGAATAAATTTCCATGTAATTACTTCGTTCCATGAGCCAGACTCTTCTCTCGTATAATTCAATGGCATCTGTCTCTGAGGAGTGCTGATTCACTGTGTATCCTTGAGAAGTCTTCTTTGAGGCTTTCAAACAGGTAAAAGGTAAAATATCAGCACCCTATAGACTGATCCCAGAGAATAAACCCAGAGATCGTAAAGTTTAATGAGCACAGCACTGTTCATCTCAACAAAAGAATTACTTAGTTGAGATGAGTACCATCCTCATAATGCAAACATGAACATTAGAGTGCTAATAGGAATTGCGTGGTTTCAATCTTAGAAAGACTCCTAGTGAATCATTCTCCATAAAAGTTAAAGGTATGCACAGACCTAAACTCCTTCTCTTTAAAATTGCTTTGAATATATTCATCCAATTCTCATTTTGCACATTGGTACTCTGTGCTCTGAGTGTCTCCGCTTCTTAGATGGTCCTATTTTGTATCTACCACATTCCTTAGGTGGACTGCAGCATTTCTTCACTTTCCATTAACTTAATTGTTTTCTCCCCTACTTGTTTTACTGCCTTCCTTGCTGCAGCATGCATCTGTTATCTTCATTTAGAATTCATCTGCTTCTTTCTGGCAACAGTATCTAGTTTTCCCACTATTACACACTTTCTCCCACTCTCACTGCCTTAGCCCTACCTTCAGGGAAGGCATGTGACTCAGGCCTGGACAATCAAAGCATCATATTCCCCCCTACCACAGTAATTAAAATGGAGATGACTCAATTAAAGACAATTATACTCAATGAGATTTTGGTAGAAATCTTAGGAGAAAGGTACATGCCTTTTCCCATCAGATTTAAACCTCAAAATATGTAGGGCCAGGGGTTCTGGTAAGCATGTTTATACCATGGGGAAACTGAGAATAAAGTCAGGATGATAGAGAGCAAAGTTGAGAAATGGAGTTGATGATCTTTTATGGGTGCCTACATTAAGCTTTGCCTAAAACTGCCTATTTGAGTCATTTCAGTTTCATGACCCAATGAGTTTCTTTTTTGCTTTGCCATTTGGGTTTTATTTTATTTACAACAGTAAGAATCCTAATTGATATACATCCCTAATTCTATAGGTAATTCCACTATGAATCTGAAGGGGTAGGAATATTAAGATAAAGCTGGAAGAGAGAGAAATAAAAATGAGAATGGTAGGACTAGACTATGAACCACTTTGTCAAATGGAAGCTATGGATGATTCCTTCCTAAGACATGATAAATTACCTATGAGTAGGAACAAGGGATTTCAGCTACGTAAATAGACATCTAGCTCTGTAAAAAAAATATCTAATAAGATAGTGACTTTACTTTAGAAAAATACATAATCTCTTAAATGGTTGCTGGCCTCATTCTGATCAATAAGAACAGGCTAAACAATGAAGTAAAAATGCTGGAAACTTTTCAAGATGATTTTTTCATATTAGTGTCCCTGGCAAATTGGCAAATAAGGAAGATAATGTACAGAATAGAAAAACAACAGCTGCTGTTTTCTTTTTTTAAGTTTTCTAAAAGTTCAGTAGAAAGAAATGCACAAATCTAAACAAAAAGGTAATTTCAAAAACCAATTACAACCCCACAAATGGTAAGAAGATAAAAGAGGAGTGTCTAAAGACATCAAAGTCAAAGTGGCCATTCTCTGATAGGTTTGTGAAATGCAGTTAGATAAGACATAAAAGGAAGAATATATAAATAAAAGCAGGAAAAACAATGGTGTGATCTTGTGGGAATAACATTAGGATGCCCAGAATTAAGTGAAGTTTGTAGTCTTCTCTAACAGTAATACTCATGTTTTTTCTCCTACTGGGTTTATTTCTTTCAAAGTGTATCACTTTAATTTACTATTCTTGTCATTATTTCTGTCCCAAGAAGACTTAACATTACCCACGACAGCATGAGAAATGCTAATGTTAATTGACTGCATGAGTGAACAAGTGACTCTTACTTCTTAATGTTAAAGCTTCAAGGTCATTTTACTCACTCCTCATATTATACGCACTGACATATGGATTCCTGAGACCATAAATAATTGTTCCCAACTTACTATGTTGTTATCTTCACTTAAGAATTTTGGGGGCCAGGTGTGGTGACTCATGCCTGTAATCCCAGCACTTTGGGAGGCCAAAGTGGGCAAATCACTTCAGGTCAGGAGTTTGAGACCAGTTTCAGCATGGCCAGCATGGTGAAACCACGTCTCTACAAAAAATACAAAAATTAGCCAGGCATGGTGGTGTGCACCTGTAGTCCCAGCTACTCAGGAGGCTGAGGCAGGAGAATTGTTTGAACCCAGGAGGCAGAGGTTACAGTGAGCCGAGATGGTACCACTGCACTCCAGCCTGGGTGACAGGGCAAAACTCTGTTGAAAAGAAAGAAAGAAAGGAAGAAAGAAAGGAAGAAGGAAGGAAGGAAGGAAGGAAGGAAGGAAGGAAGGAAGGAAGGAAAGAAAGAAAGAAGAAAGAAGGAAGGAAGGAAGGAAGGAAGGAAAGAAAGAAAGAAAGAAAGAAAGAAAGAAAGAAAGAAAGAAAGAAAGAAAGGAAGAAGGAAAGAAAGATGGAAGGAAGGAAGGAAGGAAAGAAGGAAGGAAGGAAAGAAAGGAAGGAAGGAAGGAAGGAAAGAAAGAAAGAAAGAAAGAAAGAAAGAAAGAAAGAAAGAAGGAAAGAAAGATGGAAGGAAGGAAGGAAGGAAAGAAGGAAGGAAGGAAAGAAAGAAAGGAAGGAAGGAAGGAAAGAAAGAAAGAAAGAGAGAGAGAAAGAAAAAGAAAGAAAGAAAGGGAGGGAGGGAAGGAAGGAAAATAAAAGAATTTTGAGTACTTTCTTCACTATCCTTTACAAAACTTATTTTCTTCTTTTTTCTTTTCTAATCATCATGCCCTTCAAATTTTATCCTAAAGTTGTCTCTGGTTAATGTTTGCCAAACACATTGACATTAGTCCCTATGATACAGAACCTAGCAGAGTTTATTCACTTATTCAATCACTATTTGAGTACTAAATATACACTCAACCAACAGGGAGTGTTTGGATCCAGGGATTTAATCATGCGGGAAAAAAATAGTGAGAAAAATGTGGATAAGAGACATTAATGAAAGAATGACACAAATAAACAAGAGCTCACCTTAAGGATACTTGGCCTACTCTGGATGGCAGGGAATTTCCCCAAGGAAGTCATATTTAAGCTGTGATCTCAAAGACAGATAGCACTAAGCACTAAGAAGGCAAGTGGGTAGCAAGGAGCCTTCCAGAGAAAGAGAACAACGTGGCAGGAAAGAGCACACCATGTTTGAGAAAGGGAAGTAAGATGAGTGATGCTGAAACAACAGAGAGAACGAGGGGAGGTGATATAGGCTGAAGCTAGAGTAGTAATAATAGCAATAATGAGGATGATCATAGAGAACATTTTTGAACACTCAGTAAATCCTAGGCTCTTTCCTAAGCACTTTACATTCATTAATCCTCATTGTTGTTATCCCTATTTTAGAGGTGAGGCAGCAAAAGCCAGAACATGCAAGGTCTAGCGACAATGTTAAGGAATATGTCTTTCATAGGTGAAAGTAAACTGTGGCCATTGAGCAGCTTTAAGCAGACTGGAGATAGAAGGTTGAGGTGCAAAGATGTGTGTTTTGAAAAAAATGATTCTCATTTCTACATGAGGAATGGCTTGGAAGAAAATGTAGAAACTATGGAAGACATTAAGGTCATGCAGTGAGAGGTGACGTCAGTGCAGAGTGGCATGGTAACAAGGAAGGTTAGAGATGTGGACAGATTTAAGAACTTAGTAATGGTTGAGCATGGGGGTAGGGCAGGGAGGGAAACTTCCGGGATATCAAGTGTTCTCCTTCCCCATGGAGAGGGCACCAGGCTGTGAGGTAGATGATAACTCAGTTTTGGACATGCTGAGCATAAGGAACTTCGGGGACAAAACAAAATATGTAATCAATTACTGTTTGTTTTAATGGATTGAATTGAGATGCTCCCTACCCCCTATCAGGAGCTCTTCATGATTATAGTGCAGAATTAGGATATTGCTCTCCTATAGCTAAAAAGGGAGTGCTTTAAAAAAAATTCTATGTGATAAGCCATACGTATGGGCATTATTCCTCACCTCAGTGATAAATGAGATCTGTATAAATCAGCTATGTTTTTATCATTACAGTGACGTCATAGTTCAATGGCTCATGTCCACTAAATTGTCCTTCTTTCCCAGTATCTTACTTGTATGACTTGATCGGTAGCTGATCCCTCTCACTAACCAACCTCAACTAATACAAGTCAAACTGATGAAAATTCAATCATCAACAGAGACCCTCATAATCCTAACTCTTTAACTGCCTGACAAACACTGAAACACCCAATGGTACTGAACTCGGTAGTGATGTCCACCAACTCTCTTGGGGAATGGAGAGCTTTTGTAAATGGTGGATCCCCTCATGTCCACAGATGGAAAGTTGGCAGTTCTGGTGTCATTGGTCCAGAATGATTCCTTTTAGAACAACAGTTATCAAATAGCTTGAAGTCACTGCTGATAAAGCTCTCGGTTTTGGCCACTCAAATAGCTCCATTATATACATGAGGAAGTTGAGGCACAGATTTTATTCAAGTATATCCATCAGAACAACAACAGGATTGCATTGTATTTAGTTATAACTGACCTGGACTCTTATTTCCTTTTCCTTCTATGTTTATATTTCCTCAGTCACTTTCTCCAAGCATAACTTGCCTGGTTAGTTCATTTGCTCCTTGTCACTAGCAGTGTTCAGGCAAAAGCCATTCCTGAGGTAGAATCTTCATCTCCAGAACCTCCAGCCTCTCTGGACTCTCCAAACACATAAACACCCTTGAGTCTAACTGAAGACATCTGAAGACCATATACTTGACTTATAAAAAAAAAATTGACCTATTGAGAGTTAATGCTCAAGTTGTTGAACAATAAAAACCATCAATAGGAAGAGCAAACTAAAATCTTTGTGGAAAATTAAAGCTGTAGTAAGAAAGAATAAGAAAAATAATGTAACCTGGTGGAAAGGAAACTGTCCTGTCAAATAAGAGATCTGCGTTGGTACTCTGAACTTAGCTCTGCCACCACTTAACTACAGATATGATACTAGACCAGACTTGTCCAACCCATGGCCCAAGGGCTGCATGCAGCCAAGAATAGCTTTGAATGCAGCTCAACACAAATTTGTAAACTTTCTTAAAACATTATGAGATTTTTTGTAGTTTTTTTAGCTCCTCGGCTATCATTAGTTTTAGTATATTTCATGTGTGGCCCAAGACGATTTTTCTTCTTCCAATGTGGTGCAAGGAAGCCAAAACACTGGACACCCCTGTACTAGACTGTGTCATGCCTCAGTTTCTTTTTTGTGTCAAAGGCAGAAGATAATGAATCTCATGCATTCTTCTCCTTAAACAACTATTTACAATACTCCATTCAATGTGATTTTAAAAATAAAAAGACTTAAATTTTTGCAAAACTGTGGAGAATTTACCTAAGTGCTTTCTTCAAAGTTTTATCAGCAGATGAGTCTTAATGACAAGAGAAATAAAAGATGGCAGCCAAGGCAGGATGAAAAAAGCATTCTTAACCTCATCTATGCAGAAAGACAGATCCACCCTCACCAGTAGCAGCACAAAACTGTCTAGGACTGCTATGTGACATGACAGATACTCATATGCTGAAACAATGAGGTAATATGGACAATTGGATAAGTCAGTCACTATTTGGCACCAATCTTAGGTTTGGTGCAAACACTGCCAATACTCACCTCATTAAAAGGGAATTGCTGTAAAAAATAGCCTACCACTGCAGTTTCCACTAGAAGCTCATTCCTCTCTATTCCTTCTAAGATGCAAAGCAGTTCAGCATGCATGGCTGTGTCTCTTCTCTTCATTCATGATACTGTCCAGAGTCACTGAAACTCTTAGTTCTTAAGGGAAGAGGGGATGGGTGTTGTTGGTTTTACATCCTTTGTTAACGTCAAGAAACCAAGCCACATATTTTTTAATAATGAGAATCTGGATCAACTTCAATGGATATTTCAAAAATATATTCCAATTAAACTATTTAATAGAGTCCTGGCTTTTTCTCTAACCCCATCCCATCACCATATGTATCCAATAATTCAAGTTCTTTCTTCTCTTCCGATAAAAGTGAGGGTCACTGAAGCGTTTTGAAAGTTCAGTTTATTTGAAACCATTGTTTTCAAAATGTCAATAATAACCCTTCATACTGGTAAATTTTTAGTATAAGTACCATGAAGCCTGCTATGCTGCACATCTAAGTAACCCATGCAAGCTTCCTGTGTCTGTGCCTGCCCAATGGCGTCCCTCAATGATCACTCCTTATCAATGTCTACATACATATTAGGTGGTTGTGCTCCAAGAAGAAGTTTGAGAGTGGCTCTGCCCACCTGAGCCACAGTGCCAGCAAGTGATCCCATTCACTATTCATTGGGTACGTACTGGGTGCCAGGCCCTGTAGTAGATCTTGGGGATACAGCATTGAACACAATTGTTGCCATTAATGCCTGCCCTCTGGAACTGGCAATATCCCTGCCAACCTTCTCCGACCAGCCTCCATGATACAAACTCCTGCTTAGCTAGAGCTTGGAAAGGCAATGAGTAAAGCAAGGGCAGAGAAGCAAAGAAGCCACCAGAGAACTAAATCAAATCAATGACACATTTTTGTATACACAGCATGTTTATATAAATTTCCTCACACCAAAAAATTATCCCTCTTTTGTAGGTGAGAATACTGGCATGCAGGAATAGAAGTAAATTGCCTCAATGTAGAGAATTCATGACCATCAAAGACGGGGGCCTAGATTTTCCTGAGTCTCTTTAAGCCCCTGTCTCTTAATGGCCATCCGTGAGGGCCTCAAAGCCATGGTGACACCTTGAATAACTATTGACTCTGCTTCTAATCACAGCTTTGTAGGGAGGAATATATAAAAGAGATGGAAATTCTGGATCACTTACTTCACCAGATCGCTGTGAAAATGAATAGTCTAATCATGTTTTAAATAATTAATCGTCAGAAAGGCAATATTCCTTGGTCCTGACACAACTTTGCTTAAGTGTCTACATACAGGGACATAAGGGCCTTGAAGGTGAAGATAATGAGGATGATGAAGACAATGATAACTAGTTGTATTAAATGCTTACTATGATTTTAAATGCACTATCTCATTTAATTCAAGAATTCTATTTGATTCTACTTTTCCAAATAATGCAGACGATAAAACTGGGTGTCAGAAAAGTTGAGGGACTTGACCAAGGTCACAAAGCTAGAAAGGATCAGTGATAAGAGCCTAGCCTAGACCTAGTCTAACTCCAGAGTCTATGCTTTTAATCACTACACTCATCTTAAAACCTGACAGATTTCAGCAATTTAGGTTACAAACCTAATTCAGTGTGCAAAATGTTAGAAGCTCCCCTGAAAAGGGTAAGTTAAATATAATATATGGGTGCTATGCCTGGGAAAGCTACAGACAAGACTGAGAAAATTTGAAATAAGTCACAACCCATCTGGCCACAGGTTTCCCAACCTGAGCTGCGAGGAAAGAAAAATTATAAATTGGATAAAAAGCACAAAGTTCAAAGCAGTAGGGGGGAAAGTCTACTTATTCCACCAACTGAGAGGGGTGTTGTTTTATATAAGCAAAAAAGGAAAGAACACAAGTTGCAAGGTCCAGATAGGCTTGCAGCAGCCCATTCCTCACCTGGAGACCTGATACAATTTATTCCCATTGTCCAGAGCTAAGATTTTGCTCATCACGAAACTTTTCTTATTCTAAGAAAACTGAGAAGGCTACCATGAGGAATAAATGAAGTTATTAAAAAAATCTCTTCAAATACCAAGGCATATGTGAATGCTTAGCAATATTAATAATAATATCATCATCATTATAAATATATAACTGCACTCTTAGGAAGGGAGAGAGCATTTTGAGTGCCAGATGAAATGCTGCCTTTGGACCAGCTTGTTTACCCAAGTGGTGATGCTTTGGTTATTTACAGAGCTCCTGAGTTCTCTTCATTCCAGGAGAATTGGTATAACCCATATCTTGGCCTGAGGCCAGATGTGCTATATTCGGTTGAGCTCCCACTCTGTCCCTGGCCCTATCACTAAGCAGAGGCCTTGCTCCAGGGCTTTACCTTGCTGCTTCTGCATGGTGGTGAAGTCTTCGAAGGTGAGTGTGCGCACAGGAGGTCTCCAGAATGCATATGTCTCCATGATGGCTTCAAGTCCAGTTCTGACAAGAGAAAAGCCAGCAAAGGAAGTCATAAATAATTTCAAGAAATGCATTGACTTTTCAGAGATCCAGAGGTGGACTGTCAAACAGGTAATAAAAACATAGATACTAAGCTACCACCATCAAGGTAAATTCGGGTGAAAAAACTCAAGGTACAATGATGCTGGACTGCAGGGGGAATAACAAATTAACCCAATTCAGATCATTTGCAAGCAAATCTACAACTATGATGGAATTTTATTCTGACCCTCCTTTAAATGAGGCTAGGTCTGCAGGCAAAAAAGCATGGTAAGTATTAAAGGTCAAGGCCACTAATATCATGAGTACAGTTGTGCAGAAAGTAACATTGACTGCTTCTCTAGCACAGAACAATGTCGTCATCATTACCACACTGCACTGACACAGCCTGACCGAGAGTCAACTCCTCACCTTGGGTATGTACAGAACGAATGGAACTGTCAAACTGCTGTGGTTTTAAAGGCTTCTTAAATCAACAGAGATGAATAGGGCAACAGAAATAAAAGGAGAGGTAAGCAGTGAAATAGACTTGGGTTTCTGCTGCAATAAGAAACACCTACCTGAAGATAAAGAAAGGGCTTGGTCTCAAAAATTATGGCTCAGGCAAAAAGACTAATACATTTCTCCAAATATTCATCTGCATTTTAGTAACCTAATAATCAGTCTGGTCTTTGGCCATCACAAACTGTCAGAGTTCAGGAAGTATCCAACATTTTACGAGTACATTCCTTTAAGGCTCCTGGTTCATTTGTATTGGAAATTCCATAAATTGGACTATGTGCATACTGTCTTTTTACCCTTCAATTAACTATGTCTCTAACACATATGCAAGTGCTGATATACATCATTTTCACATGATTATTGAGATTATCTCAGACATATTCTTGATGATATCCATACCCTCAAAACAAAATATCAGCTGGGGCTTTGTTTGAAGCTTTGAACACAGCTTCTAATTATTGATCTTTCTTTAAAAAAAAAACTGCTTCACTTAACTAAACAGAGAGAGGAGAAGTGTGGGACCTGTGAGAAAGGTGGGAGGAGAATAGGAAAGAGCAGATGGCATAAATCTTTTCATTGCAAGGTCACTGGAAGGTGGGTGGTATGGCATCCCTTCCTGAAATGGATTAGCTTCCCCTTTTGAGATGAAACTTCTGCTGCCTGTGTTTCTTTCTTGGTAATGTATTTCCAGAGTTCTCTTCAGCCTTACACAACAAGAATAAAGAAATTTTATTTTAGGTGAGAACAAATATCCTTTACTTATCAACAACTATAGGATACCCTGAGGTTCTTCTCAGATGAGCTGCTGATACGCTGATTGACTCTTTGTGTTGGAAAATTTCCTCTCTGAACAGGCCTCACTTGCACAGTTAACTTTCTAAAGTCTTCCCTGGAATCTTGGAGGCTTTAAATACACCAATGTTGGCAAACCAAACTCTGTATTTTAAGAAGAGGTTCAGAGAAGAGAGTGTTACATGGTGTTTATTAGCTGTTAATCTGTTAGAAGTAGGAATAGGAGACATCTCCACATAGTCACTCTACATTAATGTTGAATACAGTACATGAAACTATTTGTGGAGAGAAAGAGCCCAGGCAATTAGGGAGTTCAGAATAATAAGGGGATAGGCAGATAAAGCCACACTGAGCCTGGATGGATAGAAGAAATAGATAGGCCAGGCTTAGGTCTTACTGCTTTGTTTTGGAATGTTGGCCACCCACCAGAATATCTTAGGATTCCCTTTAATGGCACAGGAGGCTCACTGAAAATGGCAGAGTCTTTATTGTTCCACCTCCTAGTTCATTCTTCCCAGGAACATGTACTGATGATGAGGACAAAATATTAGCTCAAGGACAAAGAACAGTCCCTTCTCAGTTCATAATGAAGTGCTGGAAGACTATGAAATTGCAATAATATACTGATACACTGCCAATATTTTATTTGTTGAATAAATAGAAAATGAACTTCATTTTCTATCCTAGTTCATTTTGTGCTGCTATAACCTACCATATGCTAGGTAATTTATAAACAATAAAGTTTATTTGGCTCACAGTTCTGGAGGCTGAGAAGTCCAAGAGCAAGGTGCTGGCACCTGGTAGGGGCCTTTGTGCTGAGTCATACATGGTGAAAGATGGAAGGTCAAGAGAGGGCAAGAGCAAGAGAGAAAGGCACCAAACTTATTCTTTCATCAGGAACACACTCCTGTGTTAATTAGCCATTCATGGGGCACAGCTCTCAGAGCCTAATCACCTCTTAAAGGTCCCATCTCTTAACACTGTTTTATTGCAGATTAAGTTTGGAACACATAAACTTTGGGGGACATATTCAAACCATAGCAGTTTCATTTTCATAATAGGCAAGAAGACTGTGACAAAAGTGTTAATAGTTTTATTTTATTTAAGCAGTTAACTCTATATAGAATAGTGACTATTTACTCATGAATTCAAATCTAAAATCCAAATAAAAGAACTGAGTTGTAAAATCACATATTTTAAATCTAGGAAGAATCTTGGATGTCATCTACTATAACTCTTATGACACCATCTTGAATGGTTATCCACCTCTGTTGGTATATATATATCCCCAGGAAAATTTTCAGTTTTTTGATTGATCTGATATAACTTTCACCCTCTGGTTCCATTACCAATAAGTAAATAGTGAGAGTGACAGGCATTTCCCACAAGGAGTCCACCTGCCACATCCTCAGCAGGGAGACCTTCCTTAGCTAACGAACATAAAGAACAACATGCCACCTATGGACACATATGTAATCCATCCAGGGGTCTGTTACAGCAAGGATCAGTTTGGTAGTGGAATTGTGTGGGGAGGGTTATGGCTCCCAAAAAAATAATGGCTAAGACCATACATGCCTAACCATGTCTTATTAATCCACAGTGGATCTATGTCTTATAAATATATCCTACATAGCATATATATAAATTATTCTATAATAGAAATGATCCTATAATATATATTATCCTACAGAGAATAATATTGGTCTCATAGATTTATATTATTGATTTTATTTATGTATTCAGTGTGTATTGCTTTTTAGAAAAATTAATCCTATTTATTTACCATATTCTACCTGTTTTATTTGTCCTCAACCCTATTATGCTTCATTGGATAGATCTAATTATTAGAAGGTACTAGTTCTATATATCAATATTTGGTGTAGTGCCATGGCAAGATTAAACAATTCACCTCTCTCCACCACTAGTATGGTCGCATCTCAAGGGCTTAGGTCCCATGTTCTTCTATGCCCAGTTTTCTAGCACAGTGCTGGTTACAGGATAAGATCTCAAATGATATGCATTGAATTAATAAGTAGAAGAATGAATGCTTTATTGCTGAGTCATTCTTACACTTTAACAAGCATTCATTTTTCTAAGCCTAAAACTTAGGAACACAACTTGGTGTAAAATAAAGTATCTGAAGACAGAAGACATCCTCCAGTATTAGAGATTTGGGAATTGTTTCTATAGCTGATTGCGATTGTGCCTTTATTAACTTCAGGTTCAGAGAGGTTTGCATTTTCCTTGTCTTTTTCCATTCCAGCCATAGAACTTCTGAGCTTCAGCAGAGTCTGAGTTCCCTTGCAGGGGTGAGTCATTTCACCTCCCATCTTTTCTTTTGAGAGTTCTTGCCAACCACCTATTAACGTCTTCAGCCAGTTGGATGTCTAGTCAAAATTTACCCTGTGCTACACATTGTTTACTCATTTGTCATCATTTTACTCTAGTTTTGTAAAATTTTATCTCCAAGTTTTTAAAAGTGAATTCATTGTCTAACGGGTGAAAAAAGCAGTCCTAGGTAATGGTATGCCATTAACGTGTTCCACATGGTGAGCCTCTCAGGTCTGCTGAACAGCAGAGACCTGATGTCATCTCTGAGATTTCCAATCAGAGACGGTCAAGTTGGCAAGTGTCCCCCTCTTGCTCATTTTTTCCCTGTTAGCTCCATTGACAACATAGGCCGTATCCAAACCACCTTTGTTCAGTGCTTTGGCTGTAATCACCTCTCCGGTTTCCAGGCCTCTTCTCTTTAGGCTTTTCAGGCTGCTCACTAGCCAAACCAACAGAATGTGCTGAAGAGAAGGAGAAAGAGGAAGAAGAGAAAGCAAGCCAAGGACCTCTTTTGCAAATTGATGATGGCTTGAAATCAATTTATTTGGAAAAATAGTCAGACTACAGAAAAAAACATCCTTGCAACATTTTCAATCCAAAAAAGATGGCAGTATCATTCCTTCAAAGTTCAGCAAATATTTGATAAGTACAACAATAATTATAATAAATTTCATGACCCTACTTGGTAGCACTCCAATGCATATTTCTGCTTTTCTTTTGTCTTGAGATAGGGAGTTGCTTTTTAATGTTTCCTTTGTTTATTTTCTCTTTAGTTCTGACTTCCTTAATTTTTACTCTTCCCCATACTATTTGCTGGTGACACTGGTAACAAAGACAACGTATGCTATAGGTTGATAAGGCCATTGGTCTTCTCAGTAGAAGATGGAAAAGGACTAAGGGAAGCCTACTGAGACAGAGGTCTTGAAGTAATAAGAGAATTATCCAACCAGAAAAAAATACTTATAATACTAAGTTCAGGAAATATAAAGACAGAAAAGACACAGGGTCTCTACCCTTTATGACTGTCTTGTTTTTTAAAAAAGGAACAAGATATAAATGACTAGTTTCTGAACTATGCAGTAAATGTTACACTGAAGGCATGTATGCCAAGATGCCATGGAATATTGGGCAAGAATCACTTAATATACCTGAAAAAGTCAAGGAAGATTCCACAAAAGGCCAGTTATTTAAGCTTACTATTAAAGAGTAATCAGCAGTTTTCCATCCAGAAAAGAGTCAGTAAAAGTTTTTCTAGTAGACTTAACAGTATGTGCAAAGACTTGGAGGTATGCAAGAGAAGGCATGTTTTGGGGACATAGTTCAGGGTGACTGGAGCCTAGGGTACAGAATGGGAGAAGGGCAGTAGACACCATGAGCATTTATTCCATGACAGGTGCTTAGATTTTGTCCCATGGGTGGTGCTATGCCTCTGATCCCCTTTCTTTTCCCTTCTAGTATTTGAAAGGACATATAACTAGAATATACTGTTCCTTCAGATATAATTATCACATCTCAACATTCATAGATTTTCTTGCTTGGTTTAGGTAAGGCCAAACCTTCCATACTTCTTTCTCCTTCACTGGATCTGAAATAGAATTACTCAGATCAAAATATCCAGATTACTCAGGAATGTTATTGTCCAGGGATATTCTAAAAGACCTCCCAGCAGAGGTGTGCAAATTGACTAAAAACCTAACCATCATTCAAAACTTGGTGTTAAATAGTACCATAAGTATATCTACATGATGAAGTAGCTGTCATTAATGTGCCTTGCAATGGTTTGGGAGAACAAGTGTCCAATGGACAGATGCCTGGAGTTGAGTTAAAATTGCTCCTTACCAAGTGATTCCCAACTTAAGAACCCTGTCCTCCCTTGGAGTATGAATCAGCAGTAATGGCAGTCCATAAAGAGTTTTCATTGACTCAATAAGTGTAGTAATAACCCATGATCATACAAAGTTGGCTAACTAGAATATTAAGTTTCTTTGCATTTGACTGAAATTGTCTAACTTTAATTCAGTAATGCTAAAATCACATGAGGGACAAAATAGCATAATGGTTAAGAGCACAGGCTCTGGGGCTAGATTACCTGGCTTCAAACTGCTACCCTGCTGACTATTAGTACAACCTTTGCCAAGTTATATAACCTCTTCATTTCTAAGTCTGCCTATCTGTAAAATGGAGATAATCATAATACTTCCTCCTAACTGTGATTTAATAAATGCAGACTGATTAAAGACAAAATGTATCAAAAAAAGAGAGAAAACATAATGAAAGTTTGAGGACCATTGGTCTAACTCAAGCAAAAGAATTACAATCATTCTCCTCAGACTGTAACCTATAATAGAAGAATATACTCTTACTTCACTGAAATCCAAAGTTCTGTCAGCCCTCTGGCTCTGGATTAAATGTGGAGGGAGCTGTATGGTACCTAATTCCATTTTTCGTTGTCTTCTCAAAGAAACAAAAACGTGTCCCTCAAGTCCCTCTAGGCCTCATTATCTTGCAGATATTTCAGACTCCAATATGTTAGCCATTAAAAAGACGTCTCTCTGTTCGATGACACCATCCCTGGGCAAAAGCCACAGATAACAAAATGATCGCCAATTTTCTCTGGCAAGGCCACACAGCCAAGAGGACAATGGTGGAAAAGGCTCATGACAAGGGAGGGCGAACAAATAAGGCAGAAAAAATGTTAAGTACTGGATAAAAGACTACAAGCCAAAGAATATGATAAACAGCTATGGCCTGCATGAAAAGCAGGAGTCCAGCTGGATCATCTGCCAGAATCCAGCACAGGGCCAGCTACCTTGAATTGTAGATGCAGTAGTGCCTGCTGGAGTGTCCAGCACTGATTACTTCCATAGATCTGCTAAATGGCATAAGCCACCCATGCCAGGGATAACAAAAGGGTTTGCAAAATTTTGGGGGGCTGGTAAGAGTGCCAGGAAAGAGTAGAAAGAGATTGGCTGGACAAATATACCCAATGGCTTTAGGGAAACCAAATGAAAATATAGAAATTGAAAGTGAGATAGACACTTGAGATGTCATGCTGGTTGAATTAAAGACAAGTGGTCAGTTCACTGGCTCTAAGCTCACTACATGAGTCTTCAGGAGTGACAGGGAGCCAGAGGTGGACAAAGATACAATTTCTGTTAACTAGCAAGCTATGCCTAGCAGAAGAGAGTGAAACCATTCTCTGTACACTGTCATTAGCTGGATTTACAAATTCTGAAAGCTAATACCTCATGGTGTTCAGTCTTACCATCAGTAAAATGGGAAATAGTGCATTGACGTCATCAACTTGGAGATAAAAATGGACAACTTGGACCACAGATACTCTGTGAAATAATTGTTACTATTGCTTGTATACTTATGATTTGAATGGCTAACAATAAATATATGAGGTTAAACTGTATGAAATTGCTAGCATTTTGCCATTTTTGACCTATAAATACAGTAATTTTCTATGTTTAACTTAATAGATAAAGGTATAGATAAGATTTGAGTTACTTGGTTATAATAGAGAGCTCTATTAGCAAATTTTAACGGAGATCCTCTGTATACCCTTTCTCCTCCCACCCCCAATGACAAGTTGTTTCAGATTTCAGCAAAAACAAACTGGCCCTGGGATTAATTTCTAGCCTACTTTTCCTCGTCCCTTCTTTTCCTTCTGCTAATATTAGGCACTTTGATTCCTCATCTTACATTCCACCTTCCATTGGGTGTTGTGAGAAGGGGCTGGCCCTCCAACAGGGGACGCCTATTTGTGCCCAAGAGAGGTGGTTCTTTATAAACATGGCCATGGGACAGCAGCTGCTGAAGAGGGGGTCATGGGAAAGTTCTTTACTCCCAGATATTTTCTCCACCTCCCCTAGACAGAAATTATTTCTCTCAGGTTAAGTATCAACCTCATTAAACATTCTCTTTCAGTGAGCAAATATATCCATTCCCGTAATGCAGTGAGTGGCACCAGTCTTAGATCAGCATCCTCTGACATGTTATGTAAAAGGACACTAGGCACCAAGAAGGACTGCCACCAGCCACATTCCCAGCAAACAGCACTGCTGGCTGCAAACACTCCAAGAATGAACTGAGACTCAGATTTCTTCTTGCACCTCATCCTGCAAGCCCTATTGTTTCTTCAGTGAGGGGCAATTCATTAAAACTACTTACCCATATAAAACAACTTCCTTGTGATACAGAGCCTGCCACTGGCTCCTTTCTGACAGTTTCTAAGTTATAGAATTTGAGTTTCTGGCTCAGGCTTCCAATGGTGGATTCGAAAGAGAAAAACATACCCTCCTAAAAAGTTGTACCAATTCCCTGGGCTACAGAAGGGCCATTCCACTTGGGCCCTATCATGGGACCAACAGCAGTGGCTTTGGGGTGCCATACCAGCTGGAAATATCTGGAGGAAACTGTGTCAGATGGGACAGTCCCACCTGCAGCTGTACTAGATGCAATGGAGGCTAGGAGTAAGGGTAAAGCCCAAGGTCACAGACAGGATGAAGGCTCCGTCAGAGGAAATCCCAGAGTCTTTCACTCCATAGCACTTTTAAGACAAGTTCATAGAACCCTTCACTACTCAGACAGACCACAACCTTAATAATCTCATTTTTATGTATGTGTTTGCTTTGGAGGAAGTCCCTGAGAATTATTATATAAAATTTTCCAAGCTGACTTGTGCTTTCTGTAAAATCTTGGCAGCCACCCTATCAAGGATGGCTTGATAGGAAGAAGTTTTCACATCAGATGTGGGATGAAAGATGCAGTCTCTTTCTTTCCACTTCTTTGGTTATCTCTTTCATGTGCAGGGTCTTGGCAGTTGTCATGCTCCCTCTAGCTGAGCACAGTGGACTCTCCAGGTATGTGTGCACATGCACCTCCCATAGGTGCTTCTCAACAATTAGACCCAGTGCAAAGACTCTTGCTCCTCTTTAGCTTCAGGATCTTTGTCTTCTCCTTGGTGCAGGTTCCCCATTGGGGTGGCCAACCTCAAAGACATAATTTTACCTCTTGGTTCACTACTGGGTGTCCTTTCTCAACCAAACCTCATTCTGCTTTAGCTCAGTCTCTGGGAACCACTTCTTTCCTGAAGCTCGCAGGCACTGAAAATTGCTAGGTATCTTTCTCCAGGGAGCCAGAACACACAGACATGCCCCAGCTACCCAGAGCCAGATCAGAGGGTCTCAAGGGTGTGTGTGTCTAATCTACAGTTAGGCTAAATCAATGTCTTACAGCAGTGATCAGTCTCCGATTTTAATCACAATTGCCATTAATCTTTAAACTAAGCCTATTTAGAGATTTGCTCCTTCTTCCCTCCTTATGTGGTGTTCAAAACTAGCTCCTCACTGCTGACCTACCTGATTTCCCCCTGGCTGGGATAGGGCTTTCTTTCTCTAGAGCTCCTGATTTTTAATTTCTGTGCCATTCATCAACACCTTTTTACTGTTTTGTAGCTAAATGAAAAATTATTGTTTTATTCTCTATTCCTGGCACCATGGAAAAAAAATACAAGAACAGAAACCTGCAATAGGTACAGTCCCAGTCTTCCAGGAGCTTATATTCTAGTAGGGGGCAGAGCCCAGGAACACAGAGCACAAGACCAAAAAAAAAAAAAAAAAATCTCAAGCTGAGAAAAGCTATTTCTCCCTGAAAACAGGCAAGTGTTACTGTCTCCCCAAGTAAGAGAAATCTCCCAGAGGCAACCCTGGATATTGTGCCTGACAGCTACAGGCCTGATAATAGGTGAACACTGCCCCCATCCCACACACACACCCAAAACCAGATTTGGGCCACACAATTTCTAAGAAATCTAGAAGTAGAAACAACTTAGAAAAAAGAAAATAAAACAATTTCCCTCCTATTGCAGAGACAATGCCTGGAAGCAAAATCTGTCAGTGATTTCACTCCAGAATAAATGGCCATCTGCTATGCTTCCCCACGACGTGAACACACACGTACACCTACTCCTGTCTCTCTCTCTCTCTCTCACACACACACACACACTCACACATATATAGGTATACTTATACTTGCACACACACACACATTCACACATATATGAATACTTACAATATTTATACATACACACATAGACACACACTCACACATATACAGGTTTACTTACACATACGCACACTCAACATTCACACACACACACACACACACACATGCATGCATGCTCCCAGTGAAGACTTCTCATCAGGGGCTTAATTACTTGGTAATGGAAAGTAGCAGTTCCATAAGTCAAGTCTGAAGGGTGGAGACCTTCCTATGCTTCTCACCTGACACTTCCTAAAGAAGCAGGGAGAACTACAATAGGCTCTAATGATGGTGGCACCACAGGACTGAAATGTGGACTCACTGGGGCTCCCCTTGGGGTCTTACACAGTCCAATGAATATCACCTCTTGTTTCACCCAAGCTCAGAATCTATTCTGTGGAAGGCACAGGAGCCTAATGCCATGGAGACCAGAATACCATTTTTACTATAGATAAAGGTGTTTGGGGGTTGTGGCATAAGCGAGAAGGCTGAATGAGCTGGCTTGAACTCCTCTGAAATAAGCTGATGCCCCAGAAATGTAGGCCTCCTCTGCTAGACTTTCCACATAATGAAAAGACAGCTGGGAATGTATGTTCTGCAGGCAAGCAGGCAAGAATCTGGGGGGTTCCTTCCTCCAGACTCATGAATCAGATCAGTCATTCTGGTTCCCATTGAGAGGAATGAGAAAGGGATGGGGCTGGAAGCCAGGAGGACTTCTCCATGGATATCTCTGTTTTGTTGTTGTTGTTGTTGTTGTTTGTTTGTTTGTTTTCTTTTTCTTCTTTGAGACGGAGTCTCGCTCCGTTGCCCAGGCTGAAGTGCAGTGGCATGATTTCGGCTCACTGCAACCTCCACCTCCCAGATTCAAGCAATCCTCCTGCCTCAGCGCCCCCAGTAGCTGGGATTACAGGCACGCGCCACCATGCCCGGCTAATTTTTGTATTTTTACTAGAGACAAGGTTTCATCACGTTGGCCAGGCTGGTCTGAAACTCCTGACCTCGTGATCCACCCACCTCGGCCTCCCAAAGTGCTGGGATTACAGGCATGAGCCACCGCACCCTGCCAGATGTCTCTTTACATCAACATATGAAAAATGGGAAGCTAGTATGCTCAGCCACAGGTCCCTCAAGCACTCTTTTCTATGCTTCGGAGGACATAGTTGTCAGCCAGGGGGCTACACTCGGATGGTTCTGAGTGTGAGAGGCTTATGGGCTGAGAGAGACTCTCATAGGCATTTGAGGAGAGTGTTGTGGGTGGCTGTGTCCTCCCCATCTTTCCTCTCATTCCCCTCTTCTTGAGCCTCTGGATTGTACTAGGAGGGATTGAGATTGACAAACCTGAACATGTTTTGGTTTGAGGTTTGGCAAACTCTGTAACTCCAAAGTCTTCCACAAATGTTTTGTGTTCTGCAAAACCAAAAAACATTGGACAAGCACTTTCCCTCCTAATTTTTAAGCCCATGTGTGTTTAAAGGAAATGTAATCCGTATGTTTTGGGTACATTTACATGCAACTCATCAAACCATGCTCCTCTGCATGAGTAGTCACTTGATGTCTAAAATGCATGGGGAAGATCTTAGATTTACAAGATTTTTGTTGTTGTTGTTGTTGTTGTTGTTTTACCACAGAAGGGCAATAGATGAGGTGCTTGATGGAAGGTGGTGAACTGGGTCCTGATTCTGGCACAGAACCACCAGTTCCCAGAAGATTTGCAAATAATTCTCTGTATCCTCATCTATCAATATTTCCCACCTGCAAGGTGGCATTAATAATTGTTGCCCTTATCAGATCCTGTGGGTAGCCAGTGAGAATTAAAGTGTGATTATCAGGTAATTTTGAGATATTTAAAGAGAAAAATACAAGGGTCCCCTTACTTGCCGTAGCAATTTATTTTAATCTAGTTTTCCAGAATGCTGAAGGACAAAAATGGCTTCTATCTTTAGTAATTCATCCTTGCCCCATCATGAGACACATGACTTCAATGTCATTATATCATAGTTTCACCTGCTAGGGAAGGTCAGGCTGGCTTCCTGTTCTCTACTAGGAAAACACTTACTTACATGGGGATAGAAAGTTGATAAAGAAGTCATGGGGAGTAGACTACGAAGACAAACTGAGAATATACAGTTTGATTTACTTGGAAAAGCAAAGGTGCTAGGTGACTTGAATAGTGTTTTTACACAGATTAAGAGGTAGGATTCTGCCTTTTAGAGTTAGAATTCTGTTCTCAATATCTGTTGAAGATAAAATAAGTCAAGTGTAAACTGTTAGCATGATAAAGCACAAACCATTCAGGCTTTGAAGTCAGGCAGAGTCGGTTTTAATACCTGCTCCAGCTTTACTTTGTGACAGTAGGAAAACTGCCTAACCTCTCTGAGCCTCAATTGCTTCATTTGTAAAATACGAGTTGTTTTGAAGATTAGAGAAAGCGTAATTAAAGGTCTGGAACACAGTAAGTTAACTGATAAAATTTCTGATAGTACTTAAAGTAGCCCTCAGATTTTGATGGAACATAATGAAGAATTCCCATGGTATCAGAAAAGAATAAATAAATAATGCTGTGAAATGGATTAACGAAGATCCATAGTTCTGCTTTCCTGAATCCCTTAGAGAGAATAGAGCCCATTAGGAAGGACACACACATAACTGTCTGCCCTGAGCAGTAAGACAGTCACCAGCCTTCAGGCCAGTAGAGGAACGAGGGCCTCAGCACTTGAACTGAGATGTCATCACAATTCCTAACCAAAAGCAAATCCTTCAAGATGCAACAGTCTAATTCTCAAAGTTAAAGAGTGGCTCTAATTCCTACAACATAGATCTAATGCTGGTCAACACTAGCTTATCTAGCCTACTTTTCTGTTCTAAATCATGCCTCAGCACCTTCATTCTCATGATACTCAGTCATGTTCCTGGGCAGGGGTCACGCCTTGTAGCCACAGGGCCTCCTTGATGTTGCACAGACATGCCTGGCACACGTCTGTCTTTGCACTTGCTGTTTCTACTGCCCAGAGTGCATAGTTGGTAGCTTCTTTTGCAACATTCATGGCATCTTATCAGGACACCATCCCTATTCACACTGTAAAAGTGTCTTCCACTCTCACTCTACCTCTTAATCTGATTTATGTTTCTTCTTTGCATTTATCAATAATTGACATACATATTTCTTGATGCCTTTGCAGTGCAGACAATAAATGGTTAAAGTATGTTCAGATGGCAATTTCCAAGGATAGGGTGGCTGCTCATAGGAAAGCACTTATTTAGAAATCAAATTCAACTTTAGAAAAACGAATAAAAACTCAGAAAAACAATGACTCAAATGGGAGAAAAAAGCAAAGAAAATAAAATATTTCAAGTGCCAAGAATAAAATAAGCAAATACTAAATGCTATTGGAGATACAGAAGGAAGGAAAAAGAAAGAAATAGTTTAATAACTAACACCAGTAGGTTGGAACCCTTGAGAGAGAGAGAGAGTTGTATCTAGAGCAGAAATTCTTAACTTTAAGACTTTTTGAAAATCTGAAGAAAGATATAGACCTCTCTCCAGGAAAAATGTGCATCTATTCATTCAAACACAATTTTACCTACAATATCTGGAACCCCTGAAAAATCTATCCATGTACTTCAAGCTGAAGGTCTTAAAAGCCCTTGCATGCCATGGCCTACCTCCAGAAATAGCCTGTCATGAAAGTCCTGCCCCAAAGAATCACCACCAAGACAGGTCTAGAGGCTTCTTTACAAAAGGCTAGCTTCATTTTTGATCTCCTTATCACTAACAAGGTCTTCTGTTAGCCCATAGTGCAGAACCTTGGAAAAAAAGGCAATAGGAAATGGCTTGCAAGCACATTCTGCTGACCTGGACATGTAAAATAAGCTAATGGGAAGGAAGAGGATGGGCCATCTGAAATGAAAGTAGTAGGTATTCATTCCTCACTGGCTAAATTTTGAAAATGACGGCCTTTGTCTTGTTATAAACAAAGAATGATCAAAAGGAGAGCATTTGACATGTAGTCCATAAGCCTGAGTTCTACTACGCTCTACCACTAACAAGTAGTTGCTTGACCAAAAATATATTGCTCAATTTTGTTGTCTACAAGCTGGAATTTTGAGTGATTTTTACTTTTCTCAGTACATACAATTTTTAAAAATTCTGAGGTGAATACCATTTTATTCAAATCTAAATATATTTTAAATATACATAAGTTTAGTAGAGAAGTGATTCATAAGTCATTTTGTAAAGAAAATGATTGCCATAACTGATTTTTAGCATAAATCTGGATTTTAATATAATGTACTGCACATTTCACAAAATGGTTTGAAATAAAAGTTTTTGGTTTATTTGAAAATTCTTACAGACAGAATACCAAAGATAACCCCTGGTAATCTGTCATTTGAATGTAAATAAATGCCCTCAAACTATAAAAAAAAAAAATCTATTAAAATAAACAGTCATTGCAAAGCCTACGCACTTATGAGACAGATGTGTCACATTTGTGGATTCAATACTGTCTATACAAGATGAAATTTTCTGATTGAATAATCTTAGATATAGCTGGTTTCCCTACCCATTTTGATTCTCTCCTAACTTTCCATAGGTAACAGCTTTTAATTTTATATAGGAGGAGTGAGAAAGAATTTCGAGAAAAGAAAGAAGTATCAACAAGAGAAATGACACAGTCTCTAAGGACATTTATAGCAGGAGCAAATGGTCCTATAAACTTCAGCAATAAGAGATTCACTATATAATAACCTAGTCATAGTGACTGAGGCTAAGTCATCAAGAAAGGGGTGTTCTGTAAACTCTCTTTTCTAAAGCAGGAAGCATCTGATATATTTTGGAACTATTTCCCAGGAGAAAAACAGTTACATTTTTTTTCACACTGTTTTAGCTCTTAAGGTAGTAATTTTCTGAAAAAATGTTATTTGTCTACAACTCCTTGTTTCCTGGGAATGAGAAATATATGAGATATCACTGCAGGTGCTGAAGCCACCTATAGATACTTATCAGAGAAAAATGGCAATCTTTTAATGATAATAAATTACCATAAAATTTGTTTTAAGTGACTCAATTACTAAATATGATGTGGGGAAGAAAACAGCATGAGGGATTTGATCTGGTGATTTAGACTATGCAACAAAGAATTTGATTCTTACGTTAGCTATCCATTTCTCTTTGCCGAAGTGTACACAGTGGCGGAGCATACAGGTGTTTTCTAAAAGGCAGGAGCCATCAACCATCAGCAGGATGTGAGGGAAGTAATGTCACATAGAAAAGAAGTGCCTCTTCCCCAGTGATTCTTACCTGTTTCTCCCAGAATCTCTGAATCCTTTAGCAAAAGGGTTTCGGTCAATTTTTAATCTGGTAATCTGGAAACAAACAAATAAGTATGAATTGCTTTTATATTAACTGATTTCTTTCTTAGTACTCCTAGAAAATTACAAAAATCACTTTTTTAATAACAGTTGTTGCTTTTATTTAATTTCCTTTCAGCTCAAGATTTAATTTGAAGCTGGATATAGAACTTGGCCTGGCACACAGATGTCTGACCCACCCGACTCACTTCTCTATAAAAACTAAAATTTGCCCAGTATGTGACTCTAAAAACTCTCTCCTACTCACCTTCCTTGCCCCAGAGTGGTGGTAAATCACTTGCCTAGACAGATATTGAAATGGAAAATTGGTCAATGGTCACGTCCATGGTACATGACACACGGGAGGCACTTAAAAAATGCTTGTTGAATGAGTGAGTAAACAAATGATGTGTAAGTGAGTTAATAATTAATAATGGACTCAGTCAATTCAGTTAGGTGGAATCAGACCACAAGACAATCTGCCTTAGCCTGAAAGACCCAAAAAATTGACTGCATTTGCCATTTCACTGAAGGCATGCCTTTCCTACCACTAGAAATTATTCATTTAATGACTTGAAATGTTCATGTAGAAGACAGAAAAAGCAGACTTTTGCCAGGGTCTTACCCAAAGGAAAATCTACAATGTGAGACTGAATGGGGCAGGATGCAGTACATGTTATCCAGTCTCCAAGACTCACAAGCAAATCAGAAACAAAGAGCCAGTTTCATAAGGCTGACCAAGCTAGCACATCCAATTGTGTCACCAGCTTGGTCCTCAGGGGCCATGTGGTTCAACCCCCACTCAATGCATAAGTCCCCATCCATTGCATCCTATCTTAGTTCTGGCAAACCCTGCCATGGTTGTATATATTGCCCTCATGCCTGTAGACTAGAACAAGCCTGAACAACATATGTCACATGCACTCTAGTGTTTCCACTTTCAGCCTTGGTACCTTTGTGTCTGAATTGTTAATGACTCACTACATGCAAGCAATGGAGACTTAGGCATAGGTGCTAGGGAGCTCAGGAAGGAAGGAAGGCACTCCCAATGCAAGGTGATTCTAGAAATAAGGGAATCTCATTATTTAAGACCATCTTCATATTTTTGATAATTGTAGAACGTATCACTAGGACAGCTAAAGTTGTTTCCTACATTGCAAATCTTTCCTAGTTCTCTTTCACCTCATTTTATCAGAGTGGAATTTCCCAAGACCGCAGTCTTTAAAGGTCTTTCAAAGCAATGTGAGATTCTGACAAACAGACTCTGACTTGAAAGAGTCTTCCAGGCTTCAAGGTTATTTTCTTCCTAAATATTCCTTGCCTTTAAAATTGCACACTAATTATGCAGCACCAACAATGTAGCAAAAGCAATTTTACATGTATTTTATAGACCATAGCAGGAGTCTAAAGGTTTGGCTTTCTAAAGTCGAGTGTCTGCCATATGAATACTGTATTGAGTTTAAAGAGTGTCACTGCTTTTCTGTGTTTGACCGAAAATCAGTTCTTTCTTCCTCCATAATCCACAGCAATAAACCATGCACCATATTTTCTTTTCAAGTTGGAGTTATAATATTTTATTTTCTCTTTCAAGTTGGTTTATCCTGTCCAACTCATTTATGATAGGGATTTCTGACACATGACTGTGATACCATGTTTTGGGGGTCTCCACAGACCCCTGTAAATATAACAGCACTCTACTTCATGGGCCCGGGGGAAATGGTTAAAAATATATTTCCCACAGCTCATTGGATCCCAGGCCAATGGGTATGCATGGAAATTTAATAGCAAATGTCTCAAGTGTTAGAAAAAAACAATATCTGTACACTTGTTTTAAAGCTTTTAATGTGAGAATTAGGGAGCTTTATGAAGAGAGTGGTTGTGCCACTTATCATTTATCATCAAGTGCCTTCTGTGTGCAAAGCAGTGTGACAAGCAACACAGGTGACAGAATGGTGTACAGCCAGTGTATAGCTGTGTGTCATCCATTTTTCCTCAAGGAGCTTATAATCCAGAAGAAAGAAGCAGATGTGCACTAACAATTACAATATAAAAAAGAAGGTCATAAAGTTCACAATAAAGGCAAAGTACCCTGAAAGCTTAGACGAAGTAGGAATTACTCCATGTTGAAGGGCTCTGGGGTTTCATGTTAGAGACAGCATGTGAGCTAGGCCTTGAAAGATGTGTAGGATTTTAATGAAAACACAAGAGAAGGAAAAAGGACAAAGGAAGCATTTCTTAAGAAAGGCACTATGTAACACAGGATATGAACAGACACTTCACAAAAGAAGACATTTATGTGGCCAAGAAACACATGAAAAAAAGCTCAACATCACTGATCATTAGAGAAATGCAAATCAAAACCACAATGAGATACCATCTCACGCCAGTCAGAAATGGCGATTATTAAAAAGTCAAGAGGCCAAGCGTGGTGGCTCATGCCTGCAATCCTCATACTTTGGGAGGCCGAGGCAGATGGATTGCCTGAGCTCAGGAGTTCAAGACCAGCCTGGGAAACATGATGAAACACCATCTCTACTTAAAAATACAAAAAATTACCTAGGCATGGTGGTGTGCACCTGTAGTCCCAGCTACTTGGGAGGCTGAGGCGAGAGAATTGCTTGAACCCAGGAAGTGGGAGCTATGGTGAGCTACGATTGCACCACTGCACTCCAGCCTGGATGACAGAGCAAGACTCTGTCTCCAAAAAAAATAAAGAAATAAAAAATAAAAATAAATAAATAAAAATCAAGAAAAAACAGATGCTGGCAAGGCTGTGAAGAAATAGGAATGCTTTTCACTGTCAGTGGGAATGCAAATTAGTTCAATTATTGTGGAAGACAGTGCAGGGATTCCTCAAAGACCTAGAATCAGAAATAGCATTTAACCTAGCAATCTTATTACTGGATATATACCCAAATAAATAGAAATCTTCTATTATAAAGATATATGCATGTGTATGTTCATTGTAGCACTATTCACAATAACAAAGACGTGGAATCAACCAAAATGCCCATCAATAATAGACTGGATAAAGAAAATGTGATACATATACATCATGGAATACTACACAGCCATAAAAAGGAATGAGATCATGTCCTTGGAAGGAACATGGTTGGAGCTGGAAGCCAATATCCTAAGCAAACGAACGCAGGAACAGAAAACCAAACACCACATGTTCTCTCTTATAAGTGGGAGCTGAATGATGAGAACACATAGACACAGGGAAGGGAACAATACACACTGAGGCCTGTCAGGGAGCAGGAGAGGAAGAGCATCAGGATAAATAGCTAATGCATGTGGGGCTTAATACCTAGGTGATGGGTTGATAGGTGCAGCACACTACCATGGCACACATTTACCTATGAAACAAACCTGCACATCCTGCATATGTGTCGTGGAACTTAAAATAAAATTTAATTTAAAATTTTTAAAAGAAAGGCCCTATGTAAGCATGAATATCAAAGTGGGAAAGAATAACACATATTCCAGAAACCTTAGCCCATGTCATCATCATCTCTTGACTGAACTATTCTATGTAGCCTTAGAACTGAACTCCTTTCTTCCATTCTCGTCCCTGTACAATCTCTTCTCTATCCAGCACCCCATTTGGTCTTCGTTAACATGTAACTGGACCATGTCATTCTCTTTAGTGGCCACTACCGCTCAGAATTTAATCCAAATTCCTTGTCTAGCTTTGCAGAGCCAGCAGGCCCTTACTCTGGCCTGCCTCTCCAACCCATTCACACTCCCTTGCCTTGATCCACAGGCTCAGGACAGACTGAGCAACTCAGCCAGACTGAGATGCTCCCAGTTCTGGAATGTGCCAAGCTCTTTCTGTGTTCAGGCCACTCACATTTGCTCTACAACCAAATTTGAAATGCTCATTTCTCTACTTTGCACATAGCTGACTCCTCGTCCTAAGCCTCAGTCAAAAATATTATCTCCTGAGAGAGATCTTCTCTGATCATCTCTCCAAAATAGGATACTTCTGCTACTCTTCTTAACTGCATCCTTTTAAATTCCATCTTTGCTCTTAACACAATTGGTAATTACACATGTATTTTTGTATTTACATGTTTACTAAATGTAACTCCCCCCGGACCACAGGTAGGAACCATGTCTATTTTATATACCATTTAATTAAGCAGAACCTAGTGTGACATGCTCATTGAATATTTATTCAATGAGCAAGTGAATGAATAAATGATGATGTGAGAGCCAGGGATCAAGAGTCCCAAAACCATGATAAGCTTCAGAGAATCTAGACCAAACAATGCTCTTGATTCTATTTGCTTTCACTGGAGGCATTAGAGACAAAAATCCTATACTAATAGAACAAGGTCTATTAGTAATCTCCTGTGCGACTAAAACAAGTCTGCTAGTCTACATGTCCAAACTTTGTCCAGTGATAATGAGAAGACAGGGAAAATACAGAGGTTGTAAAAGCATTTTACTTTACTGATTTTATTTCCATAACCTTATACTAATTTGTGTAGTTTGAATTATAGAACACTGAGGCACATAAGGGGGTGGTTGCCGACTTGCCACCATTAATGTTAATCATTGTCACGGACTTCTTGCCTAGTAACATGGAGGCAGTTAATAAATGAGGTATACTTCACAGTGCACCAGGCAGACATAAATAGCACAACCTGAAAAGGAAATGAAACTTGAATATCCTGAGTATGGTTTTACAGCACGAAGGCTGAAGGGGCCTTCTCTTATTAACACTCTTCGTTATTTTTATTTCATACTATATTGCTTGAAAGGTTTTCCATAGGGGGGAAAACAAAACAAAACAAAAAACCTTAGCCCATATGAAAAAGATTCCACACTGATTTGAGCCAGCAAAATGGCTCTCTAGTTTAGACCATAATGAGTGGCTCAGAAATCCTATTGGATTTGCTCACACAAACCTGGCTGTGGTTTCCAACTTCCTATCTGGTTCATGTAGCCAATTCTCATCAAGAAATAAGACTGTGTTACCTGGGAAAACAAGGCCATGTCTTTTTGAAATCTAGTTTCCTGTTCGAAAACAAAAATCAACGTTCAGCATTCTTTTTCCCCCAGAGAAGACAAAGACTTTGCAATGGAAATTTCTTGCTAATTCTGTGAGGATATGTTGGCATCAGATTCTTCTAAGAAAAAGCATGAAGTGTTGAGTCACCTTTATTCCCACATCTACCATTTTATTCTCTTTGAAGAGATTCTGGGCATGCTACACCTTTCTCTCTGCCATAGGCCTGCCAAGTTGGCACATAGAGAGCCAATAATAGTAATAATAACTTCAGTATGCTAGCAGCCCTAAGAGTCTATTGGTCAGTAAGCAAGGATGGAAGGAAGGAATGGAAAATGGGGAAAGAAAAGCATAACATATTCCATGAAAATAGAAAAGCTCTCTTTACTACTACTTACACCCAAAGAAACAGAACCACAGATATATAAAGAAACCAGTGGTAGAGTCATGTTGGCTAATCATTCATTCAGTTTCATTTCAGTCATTTGCCAACCATATATATTCAGTGCTATGCAATATAGGTCAGACGCAAATATCTTAGAATTACAGAAATGTGCTTCAGAATTTTTTAGGTCAATTCTAATCCCCCTCCCATTATTTGAGCAATCAACATTACATCCGAATTTTTCATTCTACCAAATGGAGACAGTTAACATCTATCTACTCTCTCTTGTCTCATAATTTCATAAAATAAGTGACATTTTTATATCAAAAAAGTAGGAAAGACAAAATAAAATAGTCTATTAAATTGAATGTCTACATTCATAAAAGTACCCATATTTCTTTATTTTTCTCATTTTTCAGTGGACCATAAAAAACTTCTCCATAGACTAGTACTGATTCAGACAAAATCATCAATTTGTAAATGAGAATACTAAGGTAGAGTGATTTGTCAAAAGTAGTACAGTCCGTCAATTGCAGAGTTGGGTCTAGAACTCAAGTCTCCTAACTCCCAACTTCGTGTTTTCTACATCATACTGTTTATTTGTAAAAGGTACAACTTTTGTTCTCAAAAAGCTCAAAATATCAAGAGGAAGATTGGACATGCAAGCCAAAGTTGCAATGTGATGAGGTCACGAGAGAGTGCAGTCCCCTAACAGTTCTAACTGGGGAGAGCTCATTTGCAGCTGAAAAAAGGAAAGGAAGTGGTAGGGAATGGTATTTTCACTGAATTTTTGAAGAGTAGAAGGAATCAAGACAAATAAAAACAAAAGGGAAGGGCATTCCTGGAAAAGAAAAAGGGACATACAAAGGCAAGGATGCTGCAAAGTTCAGGCAACAGTAAAAATCTGACCAGATTGCGACACTCTTGCAGATGTGTGAGGAGGAATAACAGAAATTGAGCCTAGAAATGTAGTTGGTCATTAGCCACAGAGGACATTATTGGAAAGACTCGGGGTCCAGCACTTGACTCCCTAGGCACTGAGGAGTCATTGACAATTTTTGGCATAGAAATGGTGCAATTATCACTGGGCTTTACAATGATGTATAGGATGGCTTGTGAGACATTAAGCTTGCAGTCCAAGTGACCTAATTGGAAGCTATCATAAGAACCCAAGGTTGGGGGAAGGCAGGAACAGAACAAGGGCAAAATCAATCAGATTAGAAAGAAGAAAATATTCTGTCAGTAGAAGCAAAAGACATTAGTGACAGACTGGATGTTGTGACAACCAGGTGTTCAACCTGGGTGACAAAATGGAAGTTAGCAGAAACAGGAGGTTTAACAATGCTACTAATAACCCCAACACTTTGGGAGGCCGAGGTGGGAGAATTGCTTGAGCCCAGGAGTTCAAGACTAGCCTGGGCAACAAAATGAGAGGCAATCTCTAAAAAAAAATCAAAACAATTAGGTGGGCATGGTGATACCCGCCTGTGGTCCCAGCTACAGTCAGAAAGCTGACACAGGAGGATGGCTTGATCCCAGGAGGCCAGGGCTGCAGTGAGCCATGTTCACACCACTGAACTCCAGCCTGAGTGACAGAGCAAGACCCTGTCCCAAAAAACAAACAAACAAAAAAATAAAAACAACAGGAGAATTGAAAAGAGTCATAAATAAACAGTATCTTGGGGAATATTTTATTTACAAAACACCATGTTCATACCTCTCAAGTGTAGACTTACTAAAAATTTATTGGTAAAGATTATCTGGTGAATAAAAACAATTTTCAGACATGAACATTCTAATAATTTTCAGTAGTTGAAAATCGTGTTGATTGCCTTGGTTTGAGAACAATTGCTCCCAATCCTCATTTAAAATCATGCAGAAAAAAAGAAGGATAAATTAGAATTCCAGAGCTTTCAGGGACCTTGTAAAGCACAGGCCAATTCCTCATTTTCTAAGACAAGAAACTGAAGCACTGAAGCACAATTATTGTAAAAATACACAACTTGCTCAGAGCAACATGTGTAACTCGTAGAAAATTTAAGACTAAAACCCAGGTCTCCAAATGTCTAGCCCATTGCTGTCTGTGGAGCAGGACACTGCTTTTCCTTAGAAAGTCTGGGTAATGTTCCATTTCCATTACATTCCCTCTATTGTCTTTTCTTCAGTGTTTCCCCAAACAAGTTCCTAAGAACACCAAGGACCTACCACTAAATTTTTTTCTCTTTACTATTTCACAGGCCTCCTAACCGTTTCCTTAAAAAGAAATAAATGAAGTAAATAATTTTGACGTACTGATTGTTCTCATTCTAGAATGTTATGAAGAATAAAAACACAGTAAGAGGTGAAAATAGCTCACAAAAGAGAACAATTTATGCTACCTGGCATCTTCAGAACAAGTCCGAAAAGTATAGTTAGGTAACAGCTCTGACCTACAGGATGCAAACTTCAGGATTCCTGGGGGAAAGACCCGAGGTTATTTTGTATTACTAGAAGGTACTGTATTATATTAAATCATATCTGCGCAGCCAAAGGGAATGTTAAATAAGCATGCTTGTTGATTTATCCAGGGATTAGAGGCTTGTTAAACAGGCAAAAGCTGTCATCTTGATCCCAAAATGGGCAGAATTGAGTATGACTCATCTATTTTGCATGTCAGCACATCATGAATTCACCAATATGACATGACGACAGAGAGATCAAAGTAGTTACCTATGGATTATAATTCCTTTGAGAGCCATTGCAGCTCCTCCAATTTCGAACAATGCACTTTTTCCTTAATAAGCAATCTATTCTTTAAAATTGCTTCTATGCCCCGCTTTTCATGCCTGTTCAGACCCAGCCACGGAGCAATGTAGGCTGACTACTATTAATTAGATGTCAGGTTTGTGTCAGTGAATTTATACACGTTTCCTTATTTAGTCCTCATAGCTCTACGAGGCAGGCGCATTTTCAAGACCGGAAACACAAGTTGAAAGAAATTAATACCACACAATGTCAGTGAAAAGATCAGAAATCAAACCAAGTTTATCTGCTGCCAAATTTTATGATCTTAACCATGGTATCCTGCTCCCACTTCAGCCCAGATGTAAACAAAATATTTCTATGAGTAGAATGTACTCATGTGCTAGAACACTGTCTATAAAAGAAGGTAAAGGATGTGAAGAGGCTGTCAGAAACCCATGCTTAGTCCTCTTTCATTGTCAAAGTGAGTTGTAGCTTTCTAGTTTCAACTTGGGTTACAATAATGGCTCTCCTAGTCTCTGTAACTGATCTCAATGAGGCAGTAGAATGTTTGTTCTTCAGTGTTCTACAAAGTAAATTCTGATGTTGAAATATTTATTGTCACATCACTGCCTTCATCAGAAACTATTTTAAATGGTGGCTGGAGTATTCTTAGGAAAGTCTATAATCAGTTATCCAAAGAACTCAGACTCTTACTCCCCTTCTTCTGAGCCAGAACTAATCCCAAAGTTCTGGTTGCTCCAAAGTCCTTGTCTATGTTGATGCTATATCTCGTATCAGAGCTTGAAAAATCTTAATTATTACAGTTTTCTGTATGGACCCTCCATGGCTTCTGCAGTTTTACTATCTAAGGAATTTGAGATGGTTTAATAGCTTCTTAAATAGCACCCAAACCAAACTAAAGCTCTTCTTCTATTTTAGATCAAATGTGGCATTCACAAGGAAAATCTGAAGTTGAAAACACTTTACAGCTGCTGAGAACTCTAACACTGTATAGTACTTAACATTTAGTGGACTAAGGGTTGTTGTATGTCAAATTCCCCTGAAAGTAAATAATACCTAAGGAATCTTATGCAGAAGGACCAAAAAACAGATGTAGCAGAAGACTCTCAAGGGCCACCTCTTACCTGCTGATTCTGATAGGCCGTAACTGTGGTGAACACAGTCTCAGGAAAGTTGAACGTTTTCACCCCATCCCCAACAGGAACAGGCTTAGTGGGTGAAAGGTCACTGCTGAAGTCTTTGCGAATCACATGAACTCGAGGCTGGTATTTGTGCATAGAGTGCAGAATGATCTGAAATAAAAAGGGGAATTGTACCAGGCTTGGCTTTAAGGAACCTACATTTTGTTCTCATGCAAAAATAAATCACTAAGTTGAAGCACTATAGGAAAAGCACAGATTGGAGGTGAGATGTACAGAAAACTAGAAATCAGTATACTTGCCCAGGAAGAACTAAGTGATTAAATAGCATTACATGGAACCAAATAGCAGGACATCCTTATCATAGATGGTAAAAGTAATATGTTTGCTTCAATTGGATAATGCTGAATGACTTCTTTAGTACCAATGGACATGTCACTAAAAGGTTTCAGAACCTCTGCCATGTGACAAGTTGTTCCCTCCAGCTTCAAATTTTCAGCATGTATTCATGCTGTCTTTAAATTCTACATCCTATTATTTGCATTCATTATTGAATATGTGAACATTATTTTGTTATGTGAGAGTAAATGGTAGATATGGGTTTTCACTCTTTCAGAAAATTGTTATTTCCTTGAAGATGGAAGCAATGGTTTTAGCTTATTCAATCTTCCCATAGCACCCAGTATGGGTCCTGCCATTCAGTGAAAATTCAGTATGTGTTTCACTGCCAAAGATAAATTAATAACATCACACGCTCCAATTATACCTGGAAAGCCTTAAGATTTAGTCTTCCCTATAAAAAAATTCTTGACAAATTAGCTGAAACTGTCATTCACTTGTTTCTCTTGTTTTATAGCCTTGTGGGTTATTCTACTGAATGTTGTGATTTTTTCTACCACTGGTTGATTTGTCTTGTTTTGCTCTCTTGCCTCCTCGACTAGACTGTAAGCCTCTGGAGCACAAGGACTTTGTCTGGTAAACACAACTTGATGTATAACAGATGTTTGCTAAATGTTAGATTTGTAATAAATGGAATTTAACTGGAAAAAAACACTTTTATGCTTACTTACTTAAAATTACTTAAAGTGGCATAGAGATTCCTTATTTTACCTATTTGAAAAAGACTGGGGCTAGCCAGCTCTAAAGCAAACAGAGGAAGAGAGAAAGAAAGGGGAGATAGGATTCTTTGACTCACATGTCCTTGATCATCCAACTCATTGTTGGTAAGCTTGAGTTTGTCAAAACTGACCACCTGTCTCATCCAGGTGTCTCCAGAAGCTAGAGAATCAGGGTGTATATAAACTCTTGGGGGCACAGGGGAATCAGCATTGCCAGCCACCATCCACTTGGAGCTATGATACACATATCTGAGATAAAGAGGAAGAGAGGAAAATTCAGAGACAGAGGCAGAGAAGGGACAGAGGCCCAGGAAACAAGTTGAGACAGGGGAAAGGAGAGAAAAACAAAGAGATTACATGAATGGAGAAGTAATGGGAAAGAAACAGAGACTCAAAGGAGGAAAAGAGAAGGGCAGATAACCAGGGAAATGAAATAGAGATAGAAATGGACAAAAAGATGGAGTGGGGAGGGCAGAGAAGTGTTGTGGTTAATGATCAAATCTTCAGCCCTCGCAAGGAAAACATTCTCACAGCCGTCTTCCTTTCTTCCCTCTCTCCATGCCGTGCACCCCTGTGTGCACACATGCATCCTGAACTCACATGTCTAGCTATAGAAAAGGCATTTTACTGCAACCTTTCACCTTTCAAATGCAAACCATATAATCCCTTGGCCATTTGTTCAGGATTTTGTTCCTTATTAAAAACATCTTCCATATTGTCCTATAAAATGCAGCCATGTGCAGAGCCCTCCCAAGCCTCTCACTGGTTAACCATTTCCTTGCTAAGAATCTGGACTTTGAGGCATTTCTATGACGGGCCTTTGCCTCTCTGCAACCATTTCAGAAGCACCACCAAATACTCCCAGTTCACATTGCCTTTGATGAACCCGTTTTGAACACCATCTTCTACACTATTTTCCCACAAAGTCACTGGAAAAAAGACATTGTTTGGTAGCAAAGGAAGTCAGTTTTCCCGACTTTGCCAATTTTCTCATAGCTCAGAAGAAACATCTCCATGGATCTGGTACTTTCCTGCTTCTCAGTTCTAAAGGACCACATGGGACCTGGACCCTGAGAAATAGAGGCACCCAGTCCAAATCACAACTCCCAAGATCCCCTAAAACACGCTGGAAGCATCTTTTCTCCTAAGTCCTGAAATCCAGACCGTGTCTCTCTCAGCCATCTCTCTCCCCACTTGCCATACTAGTCCTGGCCTTTTTCATCAGCTCTTGCCTCCCTATTCATGGGTTTAGGGCCAAGTTGTTAGACTTCAGATATTTCAAAAATGAGTAATGATTTACTGATTTGAGTGAGACCTCAAGAGAAGAAATAAGCCACAACTTTTTTTTTTTCTGGCAAGAACTATGTATAAGCCATCCAAGAGACATGGAGACTATGTTGGCTTTTAATCAGTTTGAGGGAAAATTACTTAACAATCTCACTCACAACCCATATCAATGAATAATAATTCTCCATAAGTAGATATTCTTCTTGAAATTTTACCCAGTTCTCTTGTTCTTCCTCTCCATCATCTATGGGGCGATCCATCAAATATACATTTTAATATGCCTTATTGTTCCACCTCTCCTTCCTCTTTCCAAAATAAATCACCCCAATTTATTTAGCATTTCACAAACCAAATTATTCAATATGTTAATCACTTCCAATGTTAATTAAATTAATTTTAGACTTAAGATCCACTTGATTTTTGCTACCTTAGGAGACACTATACAATCCCATTCTATCCAGAGACACAGGGGGGAATCCCAGGTCAAAGTTAACACTTTTTCCACCTGGTGCTCTGCCACAGGCCATTGACATAGTCTCCATTCCTTGTTCTCTGTACAGCATGCATTGCTAAACTATTTCCTCTAAGGAGTTTGAAGAATTGTCTTGGAATGCTGGTGATACCCACATTTCCACATCCCAGAGTTATTGTTACCTGTATCTTTTATTGTCCACAGGCACAATGTCCATTGCTATGTAGTACTGCTGATGTGGATCTAGGCCAGTGATTTTCACTCTCATGGCAGGAAACATCCTCCTATGAAGATGAATAAAACAGAAAGCTCAGAAATCAGGGTGGGAGAAGTAGCAGGGGTAAAAGCTTAAACAATGTGGGTTTTTTTGTTTGTTTGTTTTCTTGTTTGTTTTTTGAGATGGAGTCTCGCTCTGTCACCCAGGCTGGAGTGCAGTAGCACAATCTTGGCTCACTGCCACCTCCACCTCCCGAGTTCAAGGGATTCTTCTGCCTTAGCCTCCCGAGTAGCTGGGACTACAGGCATGAGCCACCACGCCCAGCTAATTTGTGTGTGTGTGTGTGTGTGTGTGTGTGTTTAGTAGAGATGGGGTTTCACCATATTAGCCAGGCTGATCTCGAACTCCTGACCTCGTGATCTGCCCACCTCGGCCTCCCAAAGTACTGAGATTACAGGTGTGAGCCAATGCACCCAGCCTAAACAACGTATTCTTATTAGGTACTCTAAGCATATCAAATTCTAATGTCCTCTAATTCTCAAAGTTGACTAATTTTTTTCACTTTGGAAATTATCACTATGAAATATACAATAGACTTATACTACTGAACTACTATCTCTTCTTAACTTAAATTGACCTATTTGATGATTCATACTCTCCAAGGGTTCAACCCTGCTTTGTATTTTTAGTTAATCTTAGTTGTGATATAAATGTATGCACAGGCATGTGTGTGCATGTGTGTAGCCATGCATACATTTCCTATTAGCTATAATCTTTTTAAAGGTTAGTATAGCAACTTACACTCTTCTTATAATCTGAAGAGCTTTTCAGTTTATTGCAAGTTATCATAAAATATTTTCAACTGAGTTTATTTGAAAATAACCACTCTAAAAATAGTCTCTCAAGTGTAAAAGAAAAAAAGGAAGGTGCTACCAGTCTCCAAACAAAGAGCCACCAAGATTTTTTAGTGCATAAAACTGTAGAAAATTTTCTGCAAGTTCTCAGGCTGTCAACGTGTGTGTCAGAGGAAGGACCCTGTGGAATTGGAAGCAAATACCAAATGAATTCTCGTGGCCTCTGGGCAATACCTTGTTTCTACCACAATGGCTTGTTAAACTTGCCAAAGCAAGTGAGGTCAGGATATAGCACTTTACGACTTCTCTCATAATTGAAGAGAGGAGGAGACAGAGCAGCCCAAAAGAGGTATTGAGTTTCAATAAGTCTAGAATAAAGTTCACCATTCTTCTTTAACCATAAGAAAGAAGAAAAACATCAAGCTCAAGCTCTTTTGTATCAAGCCGGACATAAAAAGTTCTCAGTTCAAAAATTTGGATTGCCCTGAATGTGCTCTAGGCTACTTGTATGCAAAATGCTGCATTAAGCTTAACCATCTGGGGCTAGTTAGTTGAGCTGGGCAGAGCACAGTGCTAATGAGGTCAAGGTCACAGGCTTGATCCACATATGGCCTAATTGGCTTTGCTCCATTTCATGGCCATAGACCATACCCTGACCTCAAACAGCCATCTTGCAAATATGTACTGGTTGGTCACAGGAGAGGCTCTCTGTGCTAGTTACACACTCACTACTCATCCAGGAGAAGCAACCCAAAAGGCTAATATCCCCTGGCAGTAGGTCAGTGACATCATAATCATATCTGAGAGAAAGCACAAGAAGGATCACAGTCCTTTAATAGAGATGGTGGCTAATTCTTATATGGTTACAAAATTAATGCATAACTATTTCATCTTTCTCACCTTATTACTCTTCAGAAGCTTCTAGGATATATTATCATTTAAAAATTTCTCCCCCTACCTCACAATTTTTATTTAAAGGCCTCATACTTTTGTCTTATGGTGGGCTAATGAAATTTGATGATGGGATACTCACATTGACTAAATCTAACATTCACTATAGGTTAGGCACTTTAATTTGCATTAATTAATTCCAAAAATTTGGGAAACTTGATCTACACATTTAAATACAGATAAGTAATTCCCTTCTTAATAACACTGATTTATAGCTTCCCTGTATATGTAAATGTTTGGAGGGCATCTTGCCAGAGATGGGGCAAAAGTCCTCTCATTTACTACCTGAGATAAGAAAATATGGTTTCCCCCAGTCACCTAGAGAGGCTGTATTACACGAAAGAGAGAGATTTCTTTTATTCATACCTTTACAAAAAAAGGTGTTAGATGTTTTTAATTCAATATCTGTTCTGTCTGGAACCATTATATGACCTTTAATGGAGAAGCTACCCATCCCTTTCCAGTACCTGACTTCTAAAATAAATGAACTATGTGACTTTGGATAAATCATTTAACCCCATCACCTATAAAACAAAGGAAATCGACTAGATAATCTCTACAGTGCCCCCTTGCTTTAAAATTCTGTGACTACCTTTGAATTCTCTTCTTAAAAACTTCGCAAGCCTTTTTTTTCTTTTTGTCACATTTTAGCATAGAATATCAAGTGAAGTCACAACAGTCTAAAGAAAAGTTAACCTTTCATGTTTTACAAAAAGAGATGTGTTTGGTTTTAATTTTATGGCTAAATTTAGGCCAGTTCTTTTGTCTTCTAAACCCATTAATCCTTGCAAGCACCTCTGTCCATGGTGCTGATTATGCAGGTTGGGTTGGTACACTCAAAGACTGAGGGCTCTATAGACTTCAGCAGCTCTGAATCAATAGGATCACAGTTTGGGGTGTGGAAGGAGGTAGATGGTGACTAAGATCATCTAAGTAAGAAAAAGGAGAGAAAGCCATATATAACTAACATAATTAAGAAGATGGAGATTGGAATTAAAATGGAAAAGAATACTGACAATACTGCATAGCAAGAAAAATGAGTGAGAAGCAAGAAATTAACCAGGAGAATGAGAAGGAATGAAGAAAATTCACAGAAGAGAAAGCCTTATTTGTATGATTCAGAGTTGTTTCAGAATTACCTGAGAAGAATTAGATGTAGTAACAACAGTTGAGACAACTGAATACAGAACCAATTAATGTAGTTTCTAAACTTAAACAAAGGATTTCAATTATTACTAAAGAACAAACTATGTGTCTGTCTTGGGGAATGTGTAGAGTATCCAGATATTAAGGTGAACTTGTGAAATCAGGGATATGGAAATGAAAATACTGCAGAAGAATTACAAAATGAGTCACAAGAAGGTTGTCAAGGAGATGCTCAAATGAACTCAATTCACTAAAGCACAGGGAATAACGAAGTGATATCAGGAACAAACATGACTGGAATACAGAGACCCAAGAGTAATAAAGTAAAAACCCAAAAAGAATACCGGAAAATCTTATAGACAAAAAAAAAATGTAATATTTCTTCTCTCTCCAAACCAACTCTTCTACCAAAAACTTTAAAAAAATTTCCTTGAGTTACTTTGTTTTCTTCCAAGCCTTTACACCACAAAATGTGGAACAGAAGTACACTGAGACCCAAGCAACGAAAAAGAGATGATATTGAACACAGTTATCCAGCCCATCTTCTCCCCCTAGGAAGCCTTTAATGGTTTTATTCACTACTGAGAGAAGGAAGAGAGCTCCAGAAAAGAAAGAAAATAAACAAAATTTCAGATTTATTTTAACTTCATGTTTTTGTCATATCTTATTGTTTTGGGAGGTTTCCTTATATACACGTAGATAAACTGGACCCAACCAAAATATTATTTTACTTTAAATGGCTATGTTCATGAAAACAGCTCACAATCAGTAAGATGCGATTTTTGTTCCCCATGACATGTGAGATTATGTACACTGGCTTTGAAAACACAAAAGTAGCATAACTGTTTTGCTTAATTTCAATGAACTATTCCTATATGCTGAAAAGCTTAGTCCAAATGTATTTATTTATTTATTTGTTTGTTTATTTATTTATTTTTGAGACAGAGTCTTGCTCTCTCACCCAGGGTGGAGTGCAACGGCACGATCTTGGCTCACTGCAACCTCCGCCTCCCAGCTTCAAGCGATTCTCCTGCCTCAGCCTCCCAAGTGGCAGGGATTACAGGCACCCATCACCACATCCAGGTAATTTTTGTAACTTTAAAAGAGACAGGGTTTTGCCATGTTGGCCAGGCTTGTCTCGAACTCCTGACCTTAGGTGATCCACCCACCTTGGCCTCCCAAAATGCTGGGATCACAGGCGTGAGCCACCGTGCCCGGCCCAAATTTAATTTTATCTAAATCGTTTCATTTTGAATCCAAGGGGCAAGAACTACAGCCATTTCTTCACAGTTCAGAGTTGAGACCACTGTTTTAGAGCCACACAGATTTATGCAGAATTCTGGAGCTGCCTCTTAGTACCCATGTGCCTTAGCCAAGCTAATTAATGTCTTTCATCCTCTGCATCCTAATCCATATATGGGATGATTATGTCCAACCTCATAGGGTTCCTGTAAGTTTCAAAGATGTATGTTGAGTGTCCAGCACAAAATAAATACTTAACTATGGAAAGTTGAAACATACCAATAAAGGAGTAGCTTAACTAAAAGTGTCTATATCAAGAGAAGCTGTGTTTTTAAAATTTTGTAATCCTAGAAAAACAGTTTTACAAGAAATTCCATAGGTCACCAATAAAGTTGTGTAATAATTTCAAGTCAATGATAAAACACAATGGACATCAACAGGCTCAGAATATGCATCAAGTCAATTCTTTTTTAAAAATTACTACAAAAGCATTGTTGCTTTAAATACTTTAGAAGATGCAAGTTGTTATTTGGGAAGCAAACTTCTTGAAAGTATTTAATGGTGAAGTAAACACTTGCTTTGGAAATATATATTTTGGCTGTTAAGATCCCATGGACTTCCAATATTAGCTGAAATACATTTGTAGGTGGAAAATGTTTGTGATTTACATGACTTACATTTGATTGGCCCTTGGAGGAAAATAATACAATCACAACAAACACAACAGAACAACTTTACCAAGATGTCCAAATGCAGAGAAGTGAGTGCAAGCTGCTTTGGTTTTGTTGATGCCATCACAAATAAATAAGAATGGAAGAATGTAATGGCTCCTACTTCTGCAAATTCTTTGAATCTGGCCACTCAAAGGAATTTGTCCTTACCTGCCTGCTTTGGTGATGATCATTTCAGTTCCAATATCATGGAACCGCTTCCAGAGGTCAGCACATTGCAGCTCCACCTGAATCTCCTCCATGGAAGACATGGCAGCAGGCACAGGGCCTGCAGCACCAGAGGCCAGGTCAGTGTGAGTACTGAAGGAGCAGGAAGTCCGCTCAGTGAGGACCTCAGAATCTGAACCAGTGCTCTGCTCAGAATCTGCAAAATAAACAATCAAGCCTTAGGTGAGAAACTGCTGAGCTCCCCTCACCCATGGCCCTAAAAGATGGGGGTGGGAAATGCAATGAAGTGGGGAGAGGGGTAAACAAAAGGAGACTTAAAGCTGGGAAGCTCCAGAGCACAGCACTCAGGGTATTTTATTATTTTTTATGGTTTGTTTTTGTGATTTATGACCTTCTTTCAGGTTTCGTGTTTCCAACATGACATCTGGCATTTTAGTAAGTTTTAGCAACAGCTGAAGAAAATTGGTCCACAACAGGCAATATAAATAGTACTAATGTCACCATGTTGAAGAGAATGAGGCCAAACTGGGGCAACAAAATAAATGCCATATTAAACTAAAATAATTATAAATTACAGGTCCAAACCTAGATTAGACTATTACATTTGTGCAAGTAAAGATTCAGTGCAAACATTATGTTCTTCAATTCCATACCACTCAGCATCACTGCCTGTCAGTTATTTTTAAACACAGAAATTTTTCCTCTACTTACATAAGCCATGGCCATCAAAAGTAATGAAAAGCTGCTTGGGATCTTTAGAAGTACTTTGTCATATATTTGAGTAAATGGTTTTTCCTAAGAGTCTAATCAGGCCATTTTGGATGGGAAAAAAACCTCTGTTGTGAGTCAAGGATGTAAGCATATGGAAAAAGTTACCCAAAAAGGCAGTTGAAACAAAGGGAATAAATGAGTTCAGGAGACACCTTGATTGGTTTCTGAAGTATGGGCAGAGGGGAGGGGTGATCCAAACAGGAAGGTGGGATTGAGAGCAACCAAATAAAAAGTTGGCATGCTGGTCCAGATGGTCCTTTCCTGTGTCTTCTGTACTCATGAAGACAAGTGGGGCTGGGGGGCAGGGGAAGCTGACTGATGGAGAAGGCTAGAGCCAGATTTACCCGGGAAGATTTACTGGAATTTTAAATATTTACCTTTAGGAGCTTAATGCCAAGAATTGTGTGTCCTAACATTTTTCAAATTCAGATTATCTAGTATAATTTTCTTAGGTCAAATGATGCTGCAAGTCAAGCCTAAGAATCCATTTCTCTAACCCACCCTTAACATCTAGAATTCTGATTGCTTTCCTTGGAGTTAAATATATTCATGAGTAAAGGCTGGAAACAAGTGTTGTACTCTGATGAGTGACTTTTCAATGGTGTCAAGGGTCAGAGCTTCTTGAGCATCAATCCTTGACACTAGTAAGATGGAAAAGAATGGGACAGAATGCCCAATCACGTTGCTGCCAACCTCACTTACCTGCAGCAGGTTTGCAGACCTGTGAAAGATACACCCCATTGTTCCTTTACTTTTCTTTCCTTTTGTCACTGACTTTTTTCTCTTGCAACCCCAGGCAGCATCTCTGGCAAGAATATCTAACAGCTGTGTCAAAGCCACAGGGAATAAAGTGCCCACAGGGGAAAAAGTGTCATTTCTCTCCATCTCCCTAATTCCTCACCTGTCACTTGTGAAGATATTCAGGTTGTTAAAGAACCAAATCAAACTTCTAAATAAAGGGGAAGTTTCTGACCAAAAACTTCAGTTTACCCATAATCACTACATGAAGATGTAGTCACTATCTTCATTCTCCCTCCCCCTCTGCCCCCCACCCACAAAAAAAAAAAACTATAAAGTTTTATAACTAGGTTTTACATGTCTAAGCACATAATTTTATACCTAGGACTAAGTAGCAGCTATTTTTGGTCTTCTCCAAGCACTGAAAAGTAGAACTACTTATCTAAGATGACAGCTGTTGCTGAGTGACAAATCTATATCCTAGCCTGATTCTATAGGCCTTTCAGTAGCAGAGCCATTATATCATCACACACTCAGCCAAACACACTAATTCATGTCCCCTGAGACATGGATTCCCAAATCCTATTTTGTGTCTGGGATATTTTAAGAGCTCCTCACTTATCATGAATACTGTAAATTTTTCAAAAAACCTCCTCAGAAAAAGATTTTTAAAATATATTATTGTCCTGCTTTTGGAAGCAAAAAGTTACAAAATTCACCATAAAGTGCCACAATTACAAAAAATTGGAAAGAGACACCTTAAGTAGGACCCAACAGAAATTTTGGACATATGATTTCTCCAATGTATGTTTAGGAACTGGAAAAGGGAAGGAAAGGTATCACTACACTAAGAGATAAGTATTAATGGTAGCTAAATTGAGGCTGAGATTGGAATTGGGACTACGGCTAGAGAATTATGAAATAAGAGACTCTACCCTTAACTCAGTATGTCATCTGGAACAAAACAGGGACTCAAAATGTAACATCAAATGAATTAATGAATAACCTTAGACAAGCCATTTAACCACAGGGGGGGCCTAGGTCCTCAATGTGCAATGAAAAAGAATGAACTTAAGGATTACACCTCTAATGACCTGAATGTAAGAATCCTCCCCAGTGCAAGTGCTAACCCAGGTAACCTCAATTAGAAACATCAAATTTAAAACTCTTTGAACAAGACAAGTTAAATAAGGGAAAAGACCGGGGGCTCAGATTCACATTACCATAGGAGTTAAATAATTGAGTGGGTATTCTATAAGGGTTTATAGTTTCAATCAAATCAATCAATAAGCACCTATCAGCATATGGCCTTAGATGAAGTACCATGCAGATAATTAGAAACAGAATCCAAGACCTTAAGAAATTTCCCAGTTAGTGTTGATTAATTATGTGTTTATTGAGTGCTTACTATGTGCCCAGCACTGTGCTAGATTCTGGGAAATAACAAAGTACACAATGGGACCTCTCTTCAAGTACAGTACAGTGGAGACTATGAGCATTCAAAAATAATCAGAGAGCAACACAAATAACTGCCACACAGTTTTCCACACCATTACATACTGTCTCAGATGTCTCTTAGAAGTCCAGAAGAGAAAGAGATCCAAGAGGGCTAGAACACTCCTGGGGAACCCATTGTTACTAGAAAGGAAATGGGCAAGTCTGTGGAGGCATAGGCAGTATTTGTCCATGAAGAGGATTTTCAAAGACATTTATTTAACTGGAAATACCCTGAACTTCTAGATTTTCACTCTCTCACAAAACAGGATCCAGTGACTTTTATATAAAGAATGTAAGCAACAGCCCACATGTTCAATAACATGAATGCATATGCAATCTTCTATTCTCAATTGTTTCTTAAATATTATAATCTTGAAATAAAGTTACTGTTACTTTTATAGATGCTCTTTTTAAAAAGCTTCTAGAAGGGTTAGGGCCACCCGTGGGGTAAGCAACCCTACAAAACCCTTAAAATAGTAATCTCAGAGTCAAGATTAACAGCCTAGGTAAAAATAAAATTTAATCTTTTGTAAAATACATTTCTAAATCATAGTTATAGAAAATATTTTGGCTAACCAGATCAAAATTTTTAGCTATTAATTAGGATGTATAATAAAGTTATCTAAGTCATGGAAGAAACACACAGCTGGTTATTTTAATCAAATCAGATCATCCATTTAGAAATATAATCAGTCAGTCCCTTAAAGATCAAAAAACACCTCTGTGTTTTCAAGGTCATTTATTCTTGGCAATTTGTGACTTCCTGTCCTCAAAAAATAGCCATTAGGAACTCATATGAATGATGCAGGATTTCTTGGCTATCAGATACTGTCAGAATAGTATTTCAACAGAAGAAGTTTAAGTAAATCAGGAACATAAAATGTTACATGTAACCAAGGCAGCTAAAGGAGAAAACTTAAGTAACCTGCGCTGAGCCAGTTACAAGTCACTAGAGAACATTTTGTGACTCACAGGGCCAAAGCAACATATCTATTCTCATCCCCCCAAAAAAATCCTTTAAAAAGATATTTTAACCATCATTTTACTTTCTATCTCTGACCTATTTCACTTTGATAAAATGAATGCTGTAACACTAAGTTCCCACAGAAAGTTGAGTTTAGCTTAAAGTACGTTCACTTCTCACTCTAGCAATAATAATAAAAGAACTTTTAATTTATGTTTTACACATTACCTAATATTGTCTTCCCATTGATAAGATAGACATAGCTTGTATTTTTATGTCTATTTTGTGGACAAGGACACTGAAACAAGAGAAATTGAAAACTAACATGTACTAGAATGCACATCTTCTCCATCCTGATCCAATGGTCAGATCTCCCCAAAAGCACACTAGGTTCAACCCAGCCAAAACAGCTGGCAACTCTGTAACACCCCCTAACTATTTTAACCATCCTCACAACTAAGGTGGCTTAAATATGTTTGATCTTGGCCAAGTCACATGACTATTCTGGTCCCCAATTTCCTTAATCCTTATGGCACAGCACATGCACATTTAATTGGAAGTGTATAAGGTCCCTTTTAACTTGAATGTCTAATGGGTGGATTAGTAGTACAGCTTAGAGACCACCAAGTCTAACAAAAGCGAACCAACTACAATAGGTTCATTTGGTTACCATACATAGAAAATGCCTAAATTGCATACACTTTTAGTCTAATAAAAACTTAATATCCAAATTAGACATTTTAAAAGCATATTTTACAGTCTTGGCATCTCCACTTAACAGTTAATTTTGAGGAATTATTCGTTACTGCAGTGAACAAAGCACATTTACTCCTGTGGCTCTGCTACTGATCAGCAGTGGGATCTTTAAAAGTTTCTTTGGTTCACTTGGCCTAAGTTTCCTTATCTTTACCATGGGGGGTGGGGGTATAAGATATCTTTCTGCTAAAAAAAGTTATATATTTATGATAAAGCATAGTGTAATGGTTCTATTGATAATAATATTATTGACTTGGGACAGGGAGATGAATATAAGCTCACAAGAACTAACACAAAGAGTTAATGGTCAACATTATTGAGCTCTTACTATTTGTCAGGCACTCTGCCAAGACTGTACATGCAAAACATCACTTAGTACAGGCAAGCCTAAGAGTTGTTATTATTATTATCTCCATTTTATACATTATTGATGCCAGAGTCCAGGTTACATCCATTCTACTGCCTAAGGATGTCCAGCACAGAAGACTACATTTAATTCAATTTTTATGTCACCAAATATTTCTGCTTTGCCTTGACTAGGTTACATATTAATGGACCAAGACAAATAAAACAGGTTCTTGTTCTGAAGGAGCTCACAATTTGGTAGAAAGGACATAGAAACTGTTAAGGAAGGCTGACTGTGACAGATACGCCTGCAGAGGTGGGGAAAATTGTTGAGGAGCTTTGAAGTGGAAGCAAGTCAATGATGAGAGGATTGAGAAGACTTTATGAGGTAACATTTGAATATGGTCTTGAAATAGAAGTTTGAAACCAACAAACAACAAAATGATGGAGAAAGAATTTCAGGTAGTGGGAATAACAGTGATTAAGGATTTGGAGTTTCAGAGAATTACAAACAAACTGGTATGTCAGAGTTTAGATTATGTAAAGGTAGAGGAGAAGTAAGATAAATGATGAAGGTGGAAGGTCAGGTTCAACTCAACTAAATGACTACATATTGAACATTTACTATGTGCCAGTCACTCTTCTAAACTCTTGGGACATCAGGGAACAAACAAAAATTTATGGCTGAAGATCTTGGGTGTCAGGATATGGAGTTTAGACTTTATCATCTACATGCTAAAGTTTTCTTTAACGTGCAGGTAGTGATAGTTCTGTCTTCTATCCAGACTATGAATTCCATAAGCTCAGTTTAATGCTTTGCCCCATCTCATGTGTGAATGATGCAAGATAGCCTGGTTTCTATGTGAAATGTGTAAGCTGACTGTAGAGTCAGATAAGAGATGTAGAATGCTCTGAGATTAGATGCACAGTGTTACTTCTGTAAGACTGGAGCTCAGCTGTCATATTTTCCACAAGGAAGAAAATAGTTTGAAACAATTAAAGGAGAAAAACCCAACCCGGATGATAGACAATTCATCTTACTTTCTTTTCTGCCAAATACTGGTACACAACCACATTGAATGGTGTTTCCTATCTGATAGTGGTAGGACAGCCACTTCTTGATCTAGTTCATAAATCACAAAGTCTCTAAAACCAAAACTCTCATGACTATCTCAGGGCTCCCATTCACAGAAGGGCAAATACCAGAATCTTAAAACCCAGGCAGCCCTGTCTGTACCAGGAGCAAGTAAGTTCCTATTTCCAGAGGACCTCTGCAGTGGAAATTGGTTGTGGGCTATCAGATTTTATCGAGTATCTTAGAGAATGCTGGTGACGAAATTTTTCATAGAGTAACTCTAAATATGGCAGAAGCAGAGCATTTGGCACTGACCTGAGTACGAACTGAGCCCAAATTTGATACTCAGTCCAGAGCTTCAAGGGAATGAACTATAACCCGGGATGGATTAAACTAAAATTATGATGATAGCAAACACTCAAATGAGCCTGTTAAATGGCTTTAGTAATGGAATGGTGTCTCTGAGCTCTCCATGCCCTCCAAGTTCTATTTGGGAAAAGGGAGTAACCTGAAGCTTGCAATTCCCATGCCAATAAGCCAATTAAGGAGACTAAGGGCACATCATATCTCACCAACTGCCTACAGCACTCTCCACTTAACAAGCAGCACCTCTCTCAGCGATACATAGAACCACAGCAAGGACCCAAAGTCATCCTGAGAACAAAGCCTTTGAGAGAGTCTTTGCAAAGAAGTGGTAGTAGTAATTTTTTATATCTGTTTCTTGCTGAGCAGACAAAGGCTCAATGCCATTAAAGTTTCAACCTCTGTTTTAAGTTATTTGAAAAAGATTCAGATTGCTCTCCACAGTGGCTGGATTAATTTGCATTCCCACCAACAGTGTATAAGTATTCCCTTTTCTCCACAGCCTTGCTAGCATTTGTTTTCTTCTCTTTCTAATAATAGCCATTCTGACTGGTGTGAGATAGTACCTCATTGTGACTTTGATTTGCATTTCTCTGTTGATTAGTGATGCTCAGGGTTTTTTCCTATGTTTATTGTCCACTTGTATGTCTTCTTTTGAGAAGTGTCTGTTCACGTCCTTTGTCCATTTTTAATGGGGTTGCTTTTTGCTTATTGATTTGTTTACATTCCCTATAGATTCTGTATATTAGGCATTTAACCAAAAAGACACATGCATTTGTATGTTCATTGCTGTACTATTCAAAATAGCAAAGATATGGCATCAACCCAGGTGCCTATCAATAGTAGATTGGATAAAGAAAATGTGGTACATATATACCATGGCATACTATGCGACCATAAAAAAGAATGAAATCATGTCCTTCGCAGCAACATGGATGCAGCTGGAGGCCATAATCCTAAGTGAATTAACGCAGGAGCAGGCCAGGCCTAATGGCTCATGCCTATAATCTTAGCACTTTGGAAAGCTGACGCAGGCAGATCGCTTGAGCCCAGGAGTTTGAGACCAGCCTGGGCAACATGGCAAAGCCCTATCCCTACTAAAAATCCAAAAATTAGCCAGGCATGATGGCACGTGCCTGTAGTCCTAGCTACTTGGAAGACTGAGATGGGAGGATCACCTGAGCCTGGGAAGGTCGAGGCTGCAGTGAGCTGTGATGGCATCACTGTACTCCAGCCAGGGCAACAGAATGAGATCTAGTCTCAAAAAAAAAAAAAAAAAAAAAAAAAAAAACAAAAACAGGAACAGAAAACCAAATATCTCATGTTCTTTTATAAGTGAGAGCTAAACATTTAGCACACATGGACATAAATACAGGAACAACAGACACTGAAGACTGCTAGATGGTGGAAGAGGGAGGCATGGGTTGAAAAAGTACCTATAGGGTACTGTGCTCACTACCTGCGTGATGGGATTCATACCCTAAACCTCAGCATCACGCAATATTCCCATGTAACAAACCTGCACAGGTATCCCCTAGATCTAAAATAAAAGTTAAAATTGTTTAAAGTTGAAATTTCAAGTATAAGGTGAAATTATAAAAAAACTTTGCTTTAGCCTAGAACAATATGCAAAAGTTTCAACCTCTAGTGATCCAGCATGCTTTGAAGCTGGAAATGAAAAAAAGGAAGAGAAGTAGCAAGTACTGTATTAGGCACTTTATGTACGTTATTATCTCATACAATTTTCACAGAAACCTTTAAAGTAGGCATTATTGCTGCCATTTTATATATAAGAAACCTGAGGCATGACATGAATAAAAGGCTTGTCTCACATTATATAAATGGGAGGTGTCAGAGTGTGAATTGAATTAGTCTGACACTAGAGTTGATGCTCTTTTCATTATACTCTGTTGCCCATTTTTCAGAACTAGAACTGCAGAGCTGTGCACATCCTACTCTGAACTCAGAAATGCAGAGTTAACGCTCAGGCTGCTCAATCAGAAGGTAGCGCTACAGAAATTAAAACTGTCGGTTTTTTGAGAAAGGAAAATTCAAACGAAGGTCTGATGGGAATTTTCCCCTGTTAGTACAAGGGCAGTTATATTCAGGAATATTTTAGCTCTCTTCATCAACTTAACATTATTTAGTAAGTAAGTACAACTATAAAAGGCCTCTTTTGCTATATTTCACTTCCTATCCCCAATCCAACCTAGGTAGAAGATCCAAATGTGACAGACACTGAAGATCACTGTCAATGTCAAATCACCCTTTTGCTTTAGCCTAGACCATTAAGCAAAACATTACAAGGTACTTGGAAGATGTTTGGGCTTTGAGAAATTTTTAATGGAAGCATTGAAAGACAGAAGGCAACTGAAGTGGGCCCTACTTGTGCAGAATTTGGTTTATTTAGGCTTAACTCAAGTCAGAGTGCAGGACCCAAAAGTTTTTGATGGTCCTAAGTGGATATCTATGTTTGAAGAGAATTCAGCTGATAATAATGTATATGAAAGCACTTCATAAACAGTAAAGTGTCAAATTAACATATAAGATTCTACGCCAATGACCAAGCATATCAGAAAAACAAAAAAAAATAAATAAAGGACAAATATGGGCCCCGACTTTTCTAAAACAGTCCTAATTTCAAATTTCAAATATTTTATTTTATTCTTCCCACAAAATTAATATTTATGAGACCAACTTTTGGGTTAGAAAATATTCGTGATGAACACACAGACAGTGCATAAATGGAATAATCAAAAATTGGCCACAAGCCACATGGAAATGTTCAACCTAAGTACCTCTTGCACCAAAGGTCCTTCAAAAGTTCATTCTGATAAACTGGGTGGTCTTCAAGATTTACCAATTTCAGGTGAGCAGCTATCAACACAGGCCCCATCCTAAGGCTCTTGGCATTTTTCCTGGGTGAAGCGATACATTATCTCATCCCCAAGTCAATGTTTATTTGCTCTTTGCAACCACCACTTCCAACCTCCCACCACCACCTCCGACATCAGCCACTGTCATAGCACCATTGTGTATCTGCCATTATGGTCTTTTAATTTCTATGATGTGAAAAGTGGGCCTTTCTCCAAAGGCCTTACAAGCATTTGCTTTATACCTTGTTAGAATGTTCCCACTGAGCACCAATAAATAAACAAATTCATGATGACGCACTAAAGGGGAAGAACTAAGAAGCCAATTTCTAAACATCAAGTGTAATTTAACTATGACTTCTGGAGAGAGTGCCTCTGGAGGTGGCAGTTTCAAAGATGTAAGTAGGATAAACATTTGAGCACAGCCAGGAATGCCCTTCAAATGATCCCAGGAGACCACCAACTATTCCAAGTTTAAAATCTACCCAACTCACCATGCAAACATAGAAAACCATCCCGTTTAGTAAATATAACATGGCTGACAACAATGTAACAACCTCTCCAGTAATCAAAATTCATCCATTCAATCAATCATTCATTCGTTCAGCAAATAATATTCATTTTCTAGGCTGGGCCTGGCAATGTACGAGGTGTTATTAGGGGCACAAAATTGAGTAAGAGATGATCCATGTCCTCAGGAGCTTATACAATCATTTAGGGAGAGAGGATAGGTCCATAAATAAGTCTAATAAAAGTAGAATAGTCAAAATCCACCATAGCACACAGCATGCTGGGGCTTAGGATCCAAAAGACTGAGTTCTTGAGCTCATCTCTCCTCTTTCCAACCATCTAACCTTAAGCAAGTCACTTAACTTCTTAAGCCTTTGTTTTATCATTTGTAAAATGAGGATATCATTGGTATCTACTTTGTGAAACTTTTATGAACTATTAACAAGGTGCCTGTGTATGTGTATTTGCATTAATACTTCATCAACAAAAAAGGTCCAGACATACGAATGCTAATTTTCAGATATTATTATCTAAGAGAAATGGCAACAAAATCCTATGGGAGTTTAGAGGTAAGAGAAATCTCTCCAAGTCCAGGGATTTTTTCTGGGCCTAATGAAGATATGTCTGTGAGATGCAAAGGCAGAAATGGGGAAGAAAGAGAGGGGTTTCTAGGAAAAGGGAATTTTCTGGCAGAGGCGTGGCAATAAAATCTACCAAATGTATTTAGAGGGCAGCAATCTATGTCATCCTGACCACATCTGTGTTATTCCTCTTGTATCCTCAGCACCTGGAACAGTGTCTGGCACCTATTATGCACTCAATAAAATGTTTTCGTTGAATGAATTAATGAATGAAATGCTGTAGGTTTAGCAAAGTAAGAGAAGAGATATAGCCAGAGAAGATCTGGGAGGGTAGGCTGGAGCCAGATGAAGAATCTTGAATGCTATTCTTCTCATCTTCTTCCAGGAGACAAATATATCCCTAGTAATGAGGTGTCTTAATTGCATGACATGTTCCCAATGAAATCCCTATTAAGTCCTAGGGTCACCTCCTGACATCATAACCTGAACTATTGGAATCCTACCAGCTTTTCCTTGCATGACTGTGAGCTGTGTCAAACTGAGTGGCGAGGTCTGACCCGAAATCTTTCAGGGGTTTCAACTGAGTTCAAAGAGTTCAGTCACTTCTGTGAGAAGCAGTCAGTCAAACACCTAGAAAATACTCAGATACTAACTCTCCTCCACATTAACCTAAGAAGAGAAGGTGCTTACAGTCATGAGGATAAAATGGGGAAAGGATCAAGTTCTACAAATGCTAGAGCTAGTAATGCTAAGGGAGAGGTAGTGAGACAGATATCCTCCTCCTTCAGGAACAGAATGACTGCTGTGCTCACCAGGTCCCCTACACATCTGGTGTCTCTGTTGTCTGCAGTGAAGTGGGGTTTCCAGAGTCGCTAAGAAGTAAGGCAAAAGATTACAAACCTCCTTTAGAATTCCACAGACCCAGATTATGACTGGGAAAGCTGCTTAACCTTTCTGAGCCAATTTCTTCATCTAAAATGGAGATAGTGGATACCATGTGTCTCAGTGAAGCCCCTGGCGCACAATAGGAATATACTTAATATAAATTGTTTCCATCATTTGGAACAGAAAATGACCATATGCGTTAAGTCTTTTCTCAGTCACTTCCCTGTCCCTATGAGAGAGACAGAAAGAAGACTTTCAAATGAATAAATGCAAACCTCACTAAAGAAAATGTAAAATATAGAATGGGAAAAGATCACATGATGAAGAAAATATTTCAGGGCCTAGGGCAAAACTATCAAAACTGAATGGTGTTAGGAGAAATGGTGGAAAGGCAGAAAGAGGGAAAAGCAGAAGAAACAACGAAAATGCCATGTAAGGAAGCCTGCTTTTGAGTGGGTCTGCTTGAGTGATGCTCTCTTGGTCCATAATGGCTGGCACAATATCTGAGAAAGAAAGTGATAAGGTCTAAAAGAAGAGAGAAAAGGGTAGATCACTAAGAAAAGAGGTATATTGGGTCTTCAGTAAGGAAAATGGGCCAGGGAGCAAACTCTCACCTTGAACAGAGAAGCAGAGATAGCAACTGAGGCTGAAAAAGCTGCCCAAAGGCATTGTTCCATGAGAGGTGGAAATGACAGGGCAGAGCTTGGAAGCTGCAGGAAGCCCTGACTCCAGATGGATAGCCTTGTCAGAAACACTCACCTGGCTCAGGATAAGGAAAACACACTGAGGAGGCAGAAAAAAATCTAGTACCTAGGTGAGGCTCCCAGGGAGCACGAGCAGGAGGCCTGAAAGGTAGGCATTTTAACCCTATTTTGAGACTTATACAAGGGAACATGCCCAGTGCCACCCACCCAGAAATATTAGAGAGAACAAATGCACCCAAGTCTCTCCCATTTCAAAACTTCACCTCATCCACCATCCCACACCACCTTCAGAAACCCTAAAATCAAATGCTTTGATGGCAGAAAGAAGTTCACTTTTGGGGCACAAGGCAATCATTGAGAGTGAAATCATTGAGTGTTTTTATATTTACAACTCAACAAACCCAGATTAAGATGCTTGCAAAACTTAGAATCCCACCCTCACATCCCAACTTCCCAGACCCTCCAGGAAAAGTCTTCCTCCCAAGTCTCTCCTGTCTTTCTTTTTCCTCTAAAGCTCTTCCCAAAAGGGAATGAGTCATCAAAGGATGCTAACCCCAGGATGGATTTTTTATGATGGCCAAGAAAAGGAGGGTGGGGTGAGGTAAGGAATTGCCTTACACTGTCTTCTGTGTAGAAGGCTGATTTGGGAATCGCAAAGTGAACATGTTATTCTTAACTCCATTCCCGACTCCTTGAGTCATCCTCACCATGTCACTTAATTCCACTCATTCCATGGTCAACATCTTGGCTTCAACAAGGCTCTATTTTTCCCCAGGCCTACCTACCTTGAAGGGTCAGAATGACCCTTGAAGAGACAGTGTCCTTCAAGTGTGTCAGCAATTCAGAAACTGACAGCTTCCAAAATAGCTGGTGTGTTGTTGAGTGTCTGTTGCCTTCTGAAAGAGTGGCAGTGTCGCCGAGACAGCAGGATTTCCTTGCCAAAGTTGCTCCTACCCTCCTCCCCACAAGACTCTGCCCTGCCTCTCCCTGTCCCTGCCTAGGAAGACTTTGAGCCCAGGGGCCATGGCATTTAAGCACTGTCAGAGTTCCCACTTCAATTCCCACAGTGGTGCCAGTTCAGCATCTGTCATGATGACCCAGCCTGAACTGTATTTAGAAGCTTGGACATGGCACCATGTTCCAGCACATCTCACAGTGACAGGAGATTTCCTGAGCACCTGGGCTTGCGATTCGAGCACTCCTCTTCCCAGGGAATGGGGGTCAAAATGACTTTCCTCTGATGACCTGTTTCCTTCTTAGGATGGTGTCCTTCTGTTGGAGGCCTCTTCTCAGAGTCAATCTCCATCAATGCTATTACACAATGCTGTTTAAAAATCCATACTTTTTAGAAAGCTTGCAATACGTAGCAGGGGAAAGAGAGGAGAATAGGAAAGTCAATCAGAAAATGGGTTTAGTACTCTGTTCATGGACTATTCTTACAAAGATAAATTTCCCTGAAAACATAGCCTGGGAGTGTTCAGAACCTACCAGACATTGCCAGTGAATTGAGAGAGCCTGTCTATTTCACAACTAAGTGGGACAGTGTATAAGAATTCATTTCATCTTTTTGGCAGCATTTATTCCAGTCTTTAAAGCAGCATACTACAGTCCCCCCAAAATTGTAAGTTAACTCTGATTAGTGGTTAAAAATTAAGTCCATTTATTTACATATTCACATTAATCTCCACCTAGACAGGCAGACTGATAATTGTATAACACTAATCAGGTGGGCTGTAAGTTTTGAGGGTTACTGCACACAGAGCAGGTCTAGGTCCTCAATCTGATAGGTCACAGGAGAAAGAAAGGCTTTTTCTCAATTGACCCCAAACTCTCTACCCCACTGTCCCTAACCAGAGCTCCATGGAGACACCCTGTCATTTAAAAGGCATCAACGTTTGGCCTCTCCCATTCCTGGGCAAGAACCCAACACTCAGAGAATGTGGTTTTAGGATCATGGCATCTAATCCATTCAAGGATTATTTTCCCCCCCTACTGTTCAGATGGGTGTGTTAATCATCACCTCTCTTTGTTCTGTAATAAATTCAACCCTGGCTAATTCCAAGCCTCTATGCATCACTGGAGTTTAAAGATGGCATTTTGACAGGTCAGATATTCAGAGTCAATGGTCCACCAACCAGTCAAAAATCCTTAAGTACTTTTAGGAACATGTGGAAGTAATTTTTTCCAAGAATTTACAAGTCTGGAGGATGGGATCTTATTGATGGTGTATGAGCTGTTGTATATATTAAAGTATTACTTTATATACATATTCTACATATAATCAACATTGATGTATGAGTGAAGGCAGATTTCCCTTTTTATACCAAGTACTACACAAGTATTATCAAATGCAAATTACAATAAAGTATACAATATATAGCATCTTTAAAAAAATAAGACTACAGTAAAACTATAAGTGAATGTGCAATGAGTACAAGTTTAAAATACAAATGCTATAGGCTAGGAAATTTCATAGATATCAGAATATTTTATATGACACTTGCTATACTTGTACATTTTAACTACAGTCATAGTTTGAGATGAATATTTTTATAAAGAAAAAATTTATTATATAAAATATTGACTTCTAATTATTTAAATGAAGAGGTTATTAACCTAAAGTCAATGGACAAGCTTTGGAGGTTTACAAGTCACCTAAAATGATAAGTTAAATTTGCAAAAGCTTGTGTGCTTTTCTGGGGCAAGGATGCATGGGATTTATGAGATTCTCAAAGGAATCTATGACTTTAAAAGGCCTTAAGGACTACACTGGTTTGATAGGTTTTCTTCAAGTGTAATAAACATCCATCTTTCCAAGCTCTATTCTGCTGTAACAAAATGCTTTTTCCCTCAGCCAGATATTTACAATGAAAAAGATTCAAAAGAATATGACACAGATTACTAATGGTGCATCTTAATAAAAATATATTTTATCTTTATTATGAAGAGGAAGGGATTGTGTTTCTCTATGTAGTAATGAGTATTAAAATGGCCACCTGAGACCATCTTGCTTTCTCTGTATGATTCCCTATTTTCCATTGATCTTTATTTTAACCACACATACACATATATATAAGTTGGATAAATTATAATCCATATTCACCTACTTACTTGGGGAAAGTAGATGAATTATAAATTATTTTTGAGTGAATGAAAACGTGGCTTTTCCTTTGGTCTTGCTGCTTTTACTCTGGTTCTCTTTTCCCCTATCTCCCAGGAAAACATTAGTGGCACAGGAACCCCAAGCTTACCAGGTTCTTTCTCCTTATGTGTGCCAAAAGTCTGCACAGCAAGTCTGCTGTTGCGGGACTTGCAGTCCAATCCCCTCACTGGGGATGTGCTCTTAGGCAGTGGTCCCTGTATCTCAGAAGAAATCCCTCCACCTCATGTCCTCTAAGGCAATGTCTGCATCTGGCACTGGGGTTGAGAGGCAGCTCCACAGGGAAAGCTGGACACAGTGAGTAAGTGAGGCTGCCCCAGGTAGGCCTGCCAAGGCTTTCCTAAAGGCCATGGCAATGGAGCCTGCCCATGAGAAGAACATTTTGGTGAGCTCAGTTTGTCTGCTACCAAGAACCTCCTGGTCCTCCCAGCTAAACATCTATTTTTACCACACTGTGACACTGAAGACTCTGCTGTCATTAAAGTGAATAATAAATACAGTCAACTGCATTATTTGTCATTTTATGGTGAAAGGAACTCTGGATTCAGAATCAGAAGGTAGGAGTGTTAGTCCTGGTTTGGAATCAGAAAGCAAGAGTGTGAGTCCTGATTCTGACTCTACCTAGAGATATGATCTTGAGGAGCCATTTAACCCTGTGGTGCCTCAGTTGACACATCTGTGAGAAGTGGAGAAGGAATCCTACTGCTTACGCAACTCAATGAGGCACCAGCAAAATAAAACAATGCAGAGGAAAGCACTTTGTAAATTATAAAGTGCCATATAAAAATGTAACTTATCAGCATTACATTTAATCATTCACCCTGCAGAGATTTCTCAATGTGCTCTAAATACCATGCTTAATCCATACTTGCAGTGCCCATTAGAGATGAGGAAACTGAGACTCGGTGAAGCAAAG